>NC_000001.11:229972000-230123515 GCF_000001405.40 Homo sapiens | reverse complement strand
ACACACAGACATACACAACCAGTATACGTCAGTTATTTTCGAACCCTGGAACTCACACAAAGACATGACCAACCTGCATGTGCCCCTCTTCAAAGTAGTCCCCTGGGGAGACCCTTGGTATTCCCATGATGCTGTCATCATTCAAAATATTTCTGGAACTCCCCTAACGGGTTGGCCCCCAGAGACAACAGCATAATGTTCATCCTCTAAAGCACATTTGTTTTTTGGAAACAGCTAACAACCACTTGGAGCCAAGCGTCACGAATAAGGCAGGTGATCAAGCTTGGAAATTTTGTTCTTGGTCAGAAACTCACAGTGGGCACCAAATGGCAAGTATAATTTCTCCTAAGGCTCATAGACTAGCTGTGACCACGATGCCAAAAGCAGAGGTTCAACAATGTTCTGAACGCTGAAAATAAGTGTGAAGTCTCCTAAACAGCATGCTTGAAACTCGCCACTTTGAATACACTTGTTCTGATTAGACTATTACAACCAGCCTTGTGTCTTTATAACAATGTCTTGATAAATCACTACTGCACATCCCCAACTCAATGTAGCCCCAAGCAAGTTATTAATAACAAGGGGATGCGGGACACTTCAACTGCCAATCAAGAGACGACAGGCCACAACCCTGCACAGAGATGTCTGCATTCCACAGGCAGATGTCAACGCCCAGGAGTACGTGCAGACATAAATATGCACTATACGCGTGTGCAGAGATCTATATATACACCACAGATTCACAGCTCATCCCAAATCATCCTTAGTGGGCTTATCCTAAATATAGATAATAAATTCATGTTAATAATAGCTGAGACCTTTAAAATGCTCTGAAGGAAAACACACACACACGGATGAACACACACACACACGTATGTACATGCACACACACACACACACAGAGCCACCCTTATGCATTCCTGCACGCTGATCCACTGTGGTTTTCTGGTTTCCTTATCCCTGGGGGGAAAATTTTGTCAAAAAGATACACCCAAGAAATGTAAGCTAAACACTGACAGAGGCCTTCCCTGGAACACTTGTCCCAACATGCTATGATTTGAAAAGATGAGGGGGTCACTGAGAGACCAGGTCGAGGGAGAGAGAGGAGCAGCGGAGCAGCCACTGATTTGGAGGCCTCAGGGCTTGGGATTTATTTAACAGATTTTCTGAACCTCAATCTCATGGAGAATGAATTCTTTCAAGGGAAAGCGATATCTTTTCTTTTCTAACCAACTACAAAAGAACTGGTCCACTAGCCAAATATAATCAAGTTTGGTTTGGTTATATAGTTTGCCAAATATAACCAAGGAAAGCACCAGCTGTCTGTCTACCCATGCTTGCGGGGCAAAGGTTTATGAGGAAAATGGCATTATCCCAGTTCCTGGCAAACAACCTGTTCATAATGTACAGCACCGCTCAGGAGGAAGGGTGAACACTGGATTCAAATTCTAAACCCACAGTCCCAGCTAGTCGGGAGGCTGAGGCTTGAATGGTTGAGCCCAAGAGTTCAAGGCTAG
This sequence comes from Homo sapiens, assembly GCF_000001405.40. NCBI lineage: Eukaryota > Metazoa > Chordata > Mammalia > Primates > Hominidae > Homo > Homo sapiens. The sequence continues at coordinate 230,121,998 of NC_000001.11, read as the reverse complement.
CCTGGGCAACAGAGTAAGACCCTGTCCCTTGAAAAAAAAAAAAAAAAAAAGCATAACAGTATTTAAATAAACTACAAAGGGAAATATAAATTTATATATCAAAAAATAAACGTTATAAGATAAATAAATACATTCTAAATCCCTCCTCCCCTCTTCTAGCTGTGTGACCTCGAGCAAGTTACTGATGCTCCCAATGTCCCAATGTCCCCTTTTTGGGATCTATGCAAAGTGGGGTATGCAAAAGCACTCATCCTCCTGGGGCTGCTGAAGGGACTGACTCCGTGGGCATGGAAAGTTCCCAGCACAGTCCCTGAGTTACAGTCAGCTATTATTGCTTATGATGATGGCAACCTACTAAAGGCAGACACTGATGTTCTCCTCGGCAAAAACAAAGCCTTGTGAAATGGACATCCGCCTAATTCTCCCCTCAAACCTTGCCTTGAGTATTCTGGAATGGTGGTAGGGTTCTCCTCCTCAAAGAAGTAACCCATCAGAAACCTGGCAGGGACAAAGAAGAGGGGAGTGAGGGAATGCAACCAGGATGGAGACAGAAACAAAAAGAGAAGGGAAAAATCAAGAAGGCAAACAGGGGAGGGCAGGAAAGCCAACAGAGTTGTCTGTTCACGCACAAAAGCCTGCTGGTGCTTCCTCCAGTGCAGGGAGCCTGCCCCACCGCCCGCCACGGGACTAAGACAGCGCCTCCTCAGGTGTGGTCCAGGGACCCATACAAAGCCTTCACAACCCCACAGGCATGTGCCAGCACACAGCAGGCAGGTGCAGCACCATGGCTCTTGCAGAAAAGAGGAAAGAGCTGGAAGTGACCTCCAGATCCCAGGGAATGTCAACAAGGAAGTGGCTCTATGCCATTTGGACACTGGCTGGAGATCATTGCGTTAAACATCCTCCCTTCAGAGGAGCATCAGGAAAGGGTACGTGGCCAGCAGGATGCAGTACCAGGGAGAACCACTTGGTGCGTACCATTCTAAGACATGTTTTCAATAAATCCGGAGAAAGATTAGGAGTCCTAAACCACAGTTAACCAATTTCTGGCCTAGTGTTTACATCAAAGTTTGCATATAAGCCACTCAGCCTATCAAAATATTAAGGAAGTCACTGGGAATTTTATTTTATCCAAGGGGTGGAAGCAGTGCCAACATGATCTAGCCTGAGATTCAGCTGTGTCTGGCCATGTGTGACGACCTGGGGCCACAGTCACTGGAAAGAAGATACCGGCAGGGCATTTAGTGTGTGCGGAGGAGGATGAGGGAAGTTTTCTCTCCCAAGCAGCCTGGGGAGAGGCCGAGGAGAAAGGAATGCTGTTGTTTGGGTGACCAGCCCTGGGGAGCTGTGCGTCCCTGAGTCCTGCGGAAGGAAGGGCAGATCGGAGCTGAGCAGCCATTTTCATGACTGATCTGCTGCTTCGTGTCCAGCTGGCACAGGCGACACTGGAGGGGAGAGGCCCGGGACTCCACTTAGACATGGAACACAGTGTTCCCCAAAGCCGACTCCAGGGATGTGTGGAGGTACCAAGAGGGTTTGTAGTTTGGCAGGTTTGAGAGGCAACACCCTTGGCGGGGACTGCCCTCTTCTCGGGAAGAGCCCTGGAGATGGCTGACATGGGAGCAGATGACATCCACAAGGCAGGCATCCAAGGGCATCCAAGGGCTGTTCCTGATAGGCACGTCCTGGACCCCTGGAACTGAATGGGTGGAACTTTGAGAAAAGACAGGGCAAGCTGGTTAACACTGTTACTATGTAACCTTACAACACCAGCTGCTGAGGCCTGGAGAATCCCAGGTGTAGCCTTTAACACCGCCCACTCACCCCCACCCCCACCCCCAACGCATGCAAGAGGCTAGTGAGGACTGCAGTGTATGGTGGCAGACGCTTGGAGATGCTCCGGCCAGGTGCCGAGGGCACAGGGGAGGAACAGGAAAGCAGGCCGCCCTGAGCCCAATAGCGAACCGCAAACGCTTCCCAGCACAGAGAACCAGGGCTCTCTGGGAAAGGCTGACTCCAGGTCTGGGGCAGGAACAGACAATGTGACCCCGGGAATCTTACCACAGTATACAGCAACACGGTCCTCAAAGGCCATGACAATCACGCCAATGGGATGTAGGGCCCACCTCAAGCAGCTTTCACTGACCAAAGCTGGGAAAATGTGAACCCTAATAATAATAACTGGAATAAGCTGAAATGCAAATGTGTAAGTCCACATAATGCCATAAAACCAAACAAGCAAAAAGCCCTATCTGGTTACCACTGACTAGAAACTGATAAATAAAAGGAAGAAACTGACATGGGTGTTATCTTTCCCCCATGGACAGTACCACCAGGTAAACAAATAGTGGGGGTGGGGGGAGTTCTCTTTATACAAACAGCCTAGCAAAGAAATTACACTCGCAGATAGAATTAAAATGTTACAATGTTGAAAGCCTAAAGAACTAGGAGATACAGACACTGAGTATCAATGGTTGCCTCCACCACAGAAACCCAGTGCCCTGTGCCTCCAGGTCCAAGAGTGCAGCACAGACCCCACGTGGCGAGCAGCCTCGCCCATCCCTCAAAGAGGAAGAAACAAATCAAATGGGAATCTCATCAAGGCTCTACACCCGACTTCACATTTGCAGGAAACAGAGCACGGAGGAACATGGAAAACTACCCCACGGAGACGCAAGCCACAAAATCCAGGCTGGAAAACAGTAAGGCGATTCCCAGCTCCCTTCACAAAAACCTGTACGCACAAGTCAATGAAATGACCAAAAGCAGAGGGAAAAAAGAAAACTCCGATTTTCCAAGAACCAGAGGTTGTATGAATCAACCACAGTCGGTAACTTTATATAAATCCTGAATTAAGAAAAATTATAAATACAGGTATAACATTTAGGAACCAAATGGAGATTTGAGCGATAATTAAATATGGATGCCCTTAAGGAACTTGTTAATTGTTTTTAAGTATGATTTATGGTACTGTGAGTTCAAACTATCTTTTAGAGACACACACTAAAATATTTATAGGTAAAATAAGATGATTTCTGGGGCCCATTTCCAGGGTGGTCATGGACAGGACAGGGCTGACCATAGGCTGATCGGATAAAGGCAGGGTGAGGGGCAGGCAGAGTTCATTATACTATTGAGTCTACTTACATATATTTGAACTTTACTATAATAACTTTTTTTAATTGGGCTAGTAGGATGAGAGGAAGGGCGTCACAGAGGAGGTGCCATCTGAACCGCATCTTACAGGGCATGAAGGCCGGACGATGCTCCCACCGAGACAGTGCGGGGAGGAGCCACGCGGGGAAGAACCGACAGCCAGTCCCCGTAGGGCAAAGGCAAAAAATAGTTGAGGCTGGAGAGAGGTGGGAAGAAGCCAGGGCTCCAGGGAGATAAGGAACCAGCCATACTTGTGCTTCTGGCCCTACAGGGACTCTGGTGACCCTGCAGATGGTGGCACTGATGGGACTATAAAAGAGAGGGGCCTCCCAGGAAGGCACCACAACAGATGTGGCTGCTATGTGTGACTAACCGCCCTGGTCAAAAAATAGGCTTGCACACTTTGGAAGACAGTTTGGCAGGATCTTACAAAACTAAACATACACTTTCTATACAGTCCAGTGAGCGCACTCGTTGGAATTTATCCAAAGGAGTTGAAAACTTATGTCCACACAAAAACCTGCATACAAATGTTCCTAACACCTTTATTCATAATTGCTACAATGTGAAACAACCAAGATGTCCTTTGTCATGATGGACACATCTAGGCAAATGGATTAACTGTGGTATATCCAGACAACGGAACAGTATTCAGTGCTAAAAAGAAATGAGCTCTCCAGTCATGAAAAGACATGGAAGAACCTTAAATACATAGGACTAAGTGAAAGAAGCCAATTTGAAAAGGCTACATACTGAATGATTCCAACATTCTGGGATAGGCAAAGTGATGGAGACAGTAAAAAGATCAGTGGTTATCGGGGTTGGGAGGGATGAACAGGGAGCACACAGACAATTCCAAGGGCAGCGAAGCTATTCCATATGACACTGCCCAGAACAGAGTGAGGCGGATGCTTTCATCAGACACGTATATCTTGCTTCACTGCACTTCACACTGATATGCTTCAGATACTGTGTTTTTTACAAACTGAAGGTCTGTGGCAACCCTACATCGAGCAAGTCTATCACTGCCATTTTTTCTAACAGCGTGTGCTCACTTCATGTCTATATGTCACATTTTGGCCATTCTCACAATATTTCAAACTTTGTCACTATTATATCTTATGGTGATCTGTGATCAGTGGTCTTTGATGATACTAATCATTTTGGAGCACCATGAACCATACAAAATGGCAAACTTAATGGATAAACATGGTGTGTGTTCTGACTCCCCCACTCACTGGCTGTTCTGCCATCTCCCTCCCTCTCCTCAAGCCTCCCTATTCCCTGCGATACCACGATACTGAAATTAGGCCAATTGGTAACCTTACAATGGCCTCTGAGTGTTCAAGTGAAAGGAGGAGCGGCACATCTCTCACCTTAAATCAAAAGCTGATAATGATTAAGCTTAGTGAGGAAGGCCAGTTAGCTGAGTGTGAATGCAAAGGAAAAGTTCTTGAAGGAAATTAAAAGTGCTACTCCAGTGAACACATGAACGATAAGAAAGCCAAACAGCCTTATTGCTGATACGGAGAAGGTGTGAGCAGTCTGGATAGAAGATCAAATGAGCTGCAGCATTCCCTTAAGCCAAAGCCTAATCCAGAGCAAGGCCCTTACTCTCCTCAATTCTATGAAAGCTAACCGTGTGTGAGGAAGCTGCAGAAGAGGAGCTGAAAGCTAGGAGAGGTTGACTCATGAGGTTTAAGGGAAGAAGCCACCTCCATACCATAAACGTGCAAGGTGAAGCAGCAAGTGCTGATGGAGAAGCTGCAGCAAGTTACCCAGAAGATCTAACTGAGATCCCTGATGAAGGTGGCTACCCTACAGCAGCCTTCTATTGGAAGAAGATGCCATCTAGGACTATCATTGCTAGGGAGGAGATGCCAATGCTTGGCTTCAAAGCCTCAAAGGACAGTCTGATTCTCCTGTAAGAGGCTAATACAGCTGGTGACTTTACATTGATGCCAATGCTCATTTACCATTCCGAAACTCCTAGCACCCTTAAGAATGATGTTAAATCTACTCTGCCTGTGCTCTATAAATGGAACAACAGAACATGGATGACAGCACATCTGTTTACAGCACGGTTTACTGAAGATTTTAAGTCCGTGTTGAGACTGCTCGGAAAAAAAATATATACTCCTGTCAAAAGACTACTACTGATCACTGATGACACACCTGGTCACCCAAGAGCTCTGATGGAGATGCACAAGGAGGTGAATACTGTTTCCATGCCTGGTAACACAACAGCCATTCTGCAGCCCATGGATCAAGCAGTAATTTCAACCTTTAAGTCTTGTTTAAGAAATACATTTTGTGGCCAGGCACAGTGGCTCACGCCTGTAATCTCAGCACTTTGGGAGGCCGAGGCAGGTAGATCACGAGATCAGGAGATCGAGACCATCCTGCCCAACATGGTGAAACCCCGTCTCTACTAAAAATACAAAAATTAGTTGGGCGTGGTGGTGTGTGCCTGCAATCCCAGCTACTCAGGAGGCTGAGGCGGGAGAATTCCTTGAACCTGGGATGCAGAGGTTGCAGTGAGCCGAGATCGTGCCACTGCACTCCAGCCTGGTGACATAGCGAGACTCTGTCTCAAAAAAAAAAAGAAAGATGTTTTGTAAAACTATAACTGCCATAGATAGTGACTCCTCTTATAGATCTGGGCAAAGTCAAGTGAAATCCTTCTGGAAAGAATTCACCCTTACAGTTGCCATTAAGAACATTCGTGATTCACAGAAAAGATCAAAATATCAACACTAACCAGAGCGTGGAAGAAGCTGATTCCAACCTTCATGGATGACTTTGAGGGGTTCAAGACTAGAGTGGAGAAGGAACTGCAGTTGTGGTGGAAACACCAAGAGAACTAGAAGTGGAGACGACAGATGTGACTGAATTGCTGCAAACTCATGATAGAACCTGGAAAAAGACATGGAAGAGCAAAGAAAGTGGTTTCCTGAGATGGAATCTATTCCTAGGGAACATGCTGTGAGCATGTCAAAATTACAACAAAGGATTCAGAATAAACTTAATTGACAAAGACGTGGCAGGGTTTGAGGGAACTGACTCCTATTCTGAAAGAAGTCCTACTGTGGGCAAAATGCTAAACAGCAACGCATGCTACAAAGAAATCTTTTGTGAAAGGAAGAGTCCATCAATGTGGCAAATTTCATTGTTGTCTTCTTTTAAGAAACTGTCGCAGCCACCACCTCAACCTTCAACCACCACCACCGTCATCAGTCAGCAGCCATCAACATCTGGGCAAAAAGACTATGACTCGACTTGCTAAAAACTCAGATGATCCTTAGCATTTTTCAGTAATAAAATATTTTAAAATTAAGATCCGTACATTGTTTAGGCATAAGGCTACTGCCCTATTCACAGACGGCAATACAGTGTAAACATAACTTTGTATGCACTAGGAAACCAAAAACTGTGTGTGACTTGCTTTACTGCCGTATTTGCTTTATGTGATGGCCTGAAATCAAACCCACAATTTTCTCAGACGTGTGTCTGTACATTTGTCCAAACCCATAGAATGTACAAAAGCAAGAGTGAACCCTCCTGTAATCCCAGCACTCTGGGAGGCCGAGGCAGGTGGATCACAAGGTCAGGAGTTCAAGACCGGCATGGCCAAGATAGTAAAACCCTGTCTCTACTAAAAATACAAAAATTAGCTGGGTGTGGTGGCAGGAGCTTGTAATCCCACCTACTTAGGAGGCTGAGGCAGGAGAATCGCTTGAACCCGGGTGGCAGAGGTTGCAATGAGCCGAGATCATGCCACTGCACTCCAGCCTGGGTGACAGAGTGAGACTCCATCTTAAAAAAAAAAAAAAAAAGAGTGAACCCTAATGTAAGCTGTGGACTTGGGAGACTTAAGGATGTGTCAGTGTAGGTTTGTGGACTATAACTCTTGCGAAGGGAAACTAATAGGGGAAGCTGGATGTTGGGGTAGCAGGTATACAGGCACTCTCTGTACCTTCTGCTCAATTTTGCTGTGAACCCAAAACTGCTCTAAAAAATAAAGCCTATTGAAAACAGATTTGCACGTTCTACATGGTACATAACCATCCATCTTTACTGCCATTAATGCCACACCACGTATTTAGCACCAAGATCCAAGAGCTCAATTCAGCGTTCTGGACCAGACTAAAAGGTGAGCTGAGTGCGTTTACTGGGTCAGCTGCATCATTTCCAGCCCGCAGGCCAGTTCGCCGGGTGGCATCCAGGACTTACGAGGTCAAGGGAATGTCTACCTGCTCCACCGCCAACGCTGTTTCCCCTGTTCATGTCCCAGCAGTGCCGGGTTCAGCCCAAGCCCCTCCTCTCGCTGAGAATCCCTCCTACCTCACTACAACTTAGAAATATCTTTCCAACATACAGACGTAATCGTGTGGGAAACGTCTGCCCATTTACAAACCTCAAGTGCCTCACTGAATTTCGCCAGTGAAATTCCCAAGTGACAAAGGATGAGATTTGTTCTCTTCTTCCAGGGCTCAGTCTTCACCAGGGAAAATTGACTTAGGAAGATTCCTTCACAAGGAATGGCCGGAAGCTACTGGGGGACAGCAGAGAAAGGAACGACTAAACCTCCCCCTAGAATGAGGCGCGGAAACACCAGGAAGACGAACTGAAAACCTGACCCTGAATGTGGCCAGAGGAATCACTGTGGCCCGTTTCCAAGAATCTCAGATTACCAGAGACACAGCTAAGTGGGCAGAAACCCCCTGTCCTAACAGAAGCCAGCTCCGAACTGAAAGGAAACACACGTCAAAAACGGCTTTCCTTAAAATGAGACTCTGACAGCCAAGGCTGGGAACGCAAGGGTTTTCATTCTATCACGTCAAGCACTTCACGGAGATGAAGTCCTTCATTCACTGCCTCACCCCGTGAGTCAGATGCTCAGCACATGCTGACGTTATTCTGAAAAAAAAAACAAAAAACAAATCCAATGACTTGCCCTGAGCCACAGCCATTGAGTCACAGGCAGAACTGGGAAGAGGCCTCGCTTCCCACATTTGGCAAGGCCAGTGACCCCTTCCCCGAAAAGACCTTCACAGAGATCATGACCTCTTTTATCTGATCAGGTGCAAACAAGCTGCCAACACTCCCTGGGCTTCTGAAGGCAAGGAGAAGAGCATCTGAAATCCCGCACGCTGTCTGTGCTGGGGAAAGTCCCAACAGGCAACATCAGCCCCAAGATACTCTGAGCTCCTCAAGAGCCACTCAGCAGCGATCCATCCCGTCCACTTCTTGAGCACTTTGCATGGGACACTGGGTTCCACTGTCATTGCTCAGCCGTTGTCCCACATGGCTGTTTAGCTGTGCTATGCAGGCTTCTTGCCCCAGCAGGTGGGGTCAGGTCTTCTTCTTATCCACCTCTACCACAGCTGTTCCTCAATAACAGCTCCCAGCTGACAGCAGCTCCGCCCTGCAGCTCCAGGTATAAACTGGAGTTTGCCCGCCATGTAAGTGCTGCGCAAACTGGATTCCTGAGTCAAGGAGAGAAGAACAGAGAAAGAAACTGGTACAAGGAAGACTGAGCCCTGGAAGAAGAGAACAAAACTCACCCTTTTTCAGCAGCTCCTCACTCTCCAAGCCTGACCTTCACAGCACCACACAGAGCAAGTCAGGCAGCTCTGGCATCAACAGAGCTGTTCAGAGCACAGATCCGATGTGCCCAGCGCTGGGGCTCTATCCCTCCCTCCAGATGCTGTGCAGCCACACAAATAACATGGGGGTAAGACACTTCCTCAGGCCAGAAACACCTGAAGAAAGCCCCAAGCATGCTGGCAAACACACATGCAAGAGGGCACACAGAAGGTGCTGAGACCTTCACCTCTGCCACAGTTACGAGGTCACTGGTCCACGCTCAACAGGCAGCAGAGCCCAGAACAAAATCCAGGACAGAATGAGGCTGTCCCAGGCAGTTCCTAAGGGCATGGAGACACTCTATTTTACTGGAAAAGATGCTTGCTTGGTATAAGATTTTGTCCTGGCTCACAGCCCAAGAGTGGACCAGCGGAGCCAGGCCTGGTCCCCCCCACCCCCCTGCCACACACACTGTGCCACCTACCCCCTGGGCCAATCCACAGCAGACAAGCTGCAGAGCAGGAATCTCCGCAGCACAACTGCGCTTCCTCCACTCAGCCACCCTCTCCCTCCTCCTCCCTTCGCCATCCTCATCCCCACAAACAAGAGAAAAGGCCTCTGTTTAAGTCACTTGGAAAAGAACGAATCACAGCTCAGCAAGGGAAGAGTGGCTTGAAGTGGCCCTCACAGCAGACTGCCTGTGTGGCCAGATCCCTCCTCCACTGCCCTCACCCCAATCCTGCCCATTCAGACCAGCTGTGTGCATCTCTGTCAGAAACAGGCATAAATGCTTTCTGATCTCTGCGACTCCATGAAAACAGGAACAAGCTACATGCTCCACGCACACACTCTAAATGCAGGCCCCCCCCCTCCCCCGGCGCCTCTGGAGGCAGGCTCCCTTTAAGAACTACCCACCCCATGTGCAGGCTGCACTCCCTCTCAGGGTGCGCCTGGAGTGAACACTCAGACTAAGCTAAGCTAATCTGTTTTCTCAAGGAGGTGCAGGCTCAGCCTATGCTAGGAGATTAGACCCACAGGTAGACACATGAGTCCTGGGCAGAGAAAATCCCACTGCAGAGAGAGGAGAAAGCAGCCACCTGGCCTGGAGGAGCAGAGCTGAGATCCAGCTGTGGCCACCATGGACTGGGCTGGACCCAGGTCCCAGTTCTCATGCCTTCTGAGGCCAGCCAGCCTTCTTCCTCTCAGTAATGAGACACCTCCCCACCATGTCCCCACAATAAATTCCCTTTTCTGCTTAAGCCAGCCTGCACAGTAGGCTGCTTTTGCTTGCAATCAAGAGGATCTTTAACAAGGGGATATGTTTAAAAAAAAAAAAAAGAATAACAAAAAGAGGCTACTGGTATGTGAATCCTGGGGGCCACTTCTTAGGTAAGACAGGAAAAAACCATCTTGCAGCCAGATTTCAGGTCCAAAGCTCTAGATTTTGTATTCTGGCTATCTCTCCCTTTCATCAGTGACACAGTCTTCCATTTTTGATCTTGCAAAAATTTCCCGAGTGAACCAGTGTTCATTTTAAGAAGCTTTGGTTTCAGGCAATCTGACAATTAATTTAACGCAACAAGCTAATCAAAGTGAGAGGTGTAACAGCAAACTTACTTCTGTTCAAGTATCGGCTCTGGGATTTAAAAGAGTGAAAATCAGAAGTTAAAACTTGGAAACAATCCCTGATGATTTCAGCCAGCAAGAGAAAGACTACTTGGGTACATGCCCTGAAGGAGGGATGCTTTCTCAGACCATGCTTTTGAACACTTTCAGAGTCTCATTGAGCAGAGCCTTCTGGGGAGGGTTCACCTTGAAATGTAGGTAAATACACATGTGTGTTTGTACATGTATGCAAACACACTTGTGTTGTACTGCATATGTTCCATGCACACATGTGTATGCAAATGTGCATGGGCAGTGTGTGAACATGTATGTGCCTGCAAACACATATCGTAGGCTTGCATGTAAGTACACATTGCAGTGTGCACGTGTGCACAAATTAGTATGCACACGTGTAGGTACATGCATGCATGGTACGCACATGTACATGCAGGCATACTATGCACTGCATGTGTGCATGTGTGCTGTGTACATGTGTGCATGCACAGATACGCATGTGCCATATGCCCATGCCACATGCCCATATGTACATAAATGCAGACACATGCAGTGTGTACATATGTATGTACACACACACAAATATGCATGCACAGTATATATACGTACACACGCATGCAGACACACGCACACACATTCCTGCAAGTCAGGTATGAACAACAATTCTAATTACTTTATCAGCTTCTGCCTGGCAATGGTGGCTTGTACTTAAAGAGAAGAGCATACATTTTCCCCAGAACTCCCATGGTCTGTCAGTAACCCACCCAGAGGAAACTATATACTCCACGCCTCCCCAGTTTTCCACGGTCAGGCTGATGTCCAAACTCCTCTCAACTCATGCTCAATGTATTTGCATTCCCAGTCTCTTTTTACCAGAAAAGACCCTAGAAAAATCTATTGAAGACAAAAAAAAAAAAAACAGAAAAGCACAGCTGAGAGAGACCCTCAAGGCTTAGGCATAGAAAAAGTCTGAGGACCTAATAAAGAATATAACAGCGCACTCCAGCAGCAGTGAGTAGTTCTGCATTATCACTGTATGCAGCACACCATTCTAAGTGTTCTGGTTACATTAACTCACTTAATCCCCACACAAAGCTTTGATTATCCCCATTTAGTGTAAGTGGGGAAACTTAGTGCAAAGGTCAGACACCTCCAACATGACAGCACTAGGACCCAACCCCAAGCGGCCATGCTTGAGCCACCCCACGCCCTGTCCTCATGTGACAGTAGTGGGGCTCCCAGGCCGTCAGAGCTCACAACAGCTCCAGTGACTCAAATAAGAACAGCCCTGAACATTCTCTATTCAACCTCAGAGCAAGCACAGAGCAGAGACAGAGATCCTTTTGGTCCCCCTAAAATGTCCCTGACACACAGGAAAAACACAGGTGAGGAGGGGAGGGAATGAGTCACAAAAATTAAAAACCACCATAGTATATTTAAATGAGCTATTAGCCATACTGAGAGAATGAGCAGGAGCACTAAGTTTAAGGAAGGACACTTTCACCCCACAGCTGCTCCTAGGATGGCTCAGCCTCTGCACAGAGAACGGCTGCATCAGCCTGTGGGAGGCACACCTGCTCTGCCAGGACGCCGTGGCTCCCAGTGCTACCCCAGACGGGTGTACACCAGGTCTGTTTCACATCTCTGATCTGCGTGACAGGAAACAGAAACAGAACTTGAGAGACCTACGCGTCCCAGAAGAGGTCAAATGTTAGCAAATGCATAAAATGAGCTTGTTTGTCTTTCTGACTTGAGGCTCACTGACTGCCTCCCTAACAGTGTTCCTTCTTTTTTTTTTTTTTGGAGACGAAGTTTCGCTCTTGTTGCCCAGGCTGGAGGGCAATGGCGTGATCTCTCAACTCACTGCGACCTCCGCCTCCCAGGTTCAAGTGATTCTTCTGCCTCAGCCTCCAGAGTAGCTGGGATTACAGGCACCTGCCACCACGCCCAGCTAATTTTTGTATATTTAGTAGAGATGGGGTTTCACCATGTTGACCAGGCTGTTCTTGAACTTCTGACCTCAGGTGATCCACCTGCCTCGGCCTCCCGAAGTGCTGGGATTACATGCGTGAGCCACTGCGCCCAGCCAACAGTGTTCCTTCTTAAGTCTACTCCTACCCTGCAGCCATACATCTGGTGGTGGACAATGGTGCCTCTCCAGTCTTTCCAGGTCATTAGCCAGTCCCAGACAGACCTCTGTCCCCCAAGAACCTGTTCGTGTGACAGGGCTGCCTTTGTGGCACTAGTCCTGACGTCCCACATGAGTGGCCTACTCCTGTTAACCACCACACCATGTCCCTGCTACACCCCGAGGGAGCCTGCAGGGCCCCCAACCACCACTGCTGCAGCCGCCACCCCACCCCGCACCTCCCTGCACCCGCTCACCTGCAAAGGCAAGGACCACACTGGGCAGCTGCATCCCATCTACGGGGGTCCGCAGCCGCAGCTCCCAGGGAGACCCCCATCAGAGGGCAGAGCCTTCCAACGCCCAGGGGAGGCTACTGGTGGAGCGGGAATTCAACTCAGTGAGTTGCTGCCAGCAAAGTGTTTAATGAGATAGAGAAGAGTAGGATAGTCCATCTAGAAAACGTTTGCACTGTTCGCGAAACTTTGTTTCTAACATATATATCCTGCTCTACATCTCATCCTGTTATTCAGATGGTCTCCAACTTACCATGGCTCGACTTAACAATTCTGACTTCACGATGGTGCGAAAGCAATATGCCTTCAGTAGAAACTGTACTTCAAATCTGGAATTCTGCTCTTATCCTGGGCTAGCGATATGCGGTCGGATAGTCTCTGACAATGCCGGGCAATGTCAGTGATTCACAGCTCTCAGTCAGCCACACGGTCACGAAGTTAAACAACTGATACCCTACAGTGTGCGGTGCTGTCAGCATTGTTTGGATATGACTTGCCCAATTGCAGGCTAACGTTTAAGTGCTCTGAGCACAATGAAGGCAGGTGAGGCTAAGCTATGATGCTTGATAGCTTAGGTATATCAAATGCATTTTCGACTTCAGATGTTTCCAACTTACAGTGTCTTTACTGGGACATGATCCCATCATAAGCTGAGGAACATCTGTGCATAAATCTCATCCTTATATATCCCATCAGGGATGGATGCTCCTCGACTTACAATGCGCCACATCTTGGTAAAGCCACTGTAAGTTGAAAATACCATTATATCAGAAGTGCATTATGGACTTAGGATATTTTCAACTTATGATGGGTTTATCGGGACATAGCTTCATTGTTAATTGAGGAACGTACTGAACGTGTATCACTTTCACACCATCGTAAAGTTGAAAAAGTGTAAGCGAAACCATCCCCAGTCAGGGACTAAGTGTATCATCTTCAAAACATGAGGAAAACTTCCTAGGAGAACTTTATTATGAGCTTGCTTGTATGCCCAATTAGAAGTGCTCTTTCAGGACTGTGCTCTTTCAGGACTGTGCCTATTGCTTCACAGGCAAACCAGTTCCACGTGGCTCAGGGTGCAAGCTCCTGGCAGCAGAGCCTGCCTTCTCCTTCTGTGTTTACCGTGCCCAGCATCCCTTCTCATGCAAGCCAGTGAGCCCTATGAATGAGTCTGCCCAAGCCTGGGCAATACCTGTGACCCCTTTCACAGCATTTTATGATGCACGCAGGTAACATTCACCTGTCTGCACCCGCACAGAAATGGGGATCCAGATGTGCCCACAGCTGCAAAGCTGGCAGTGCAGGCAAGGTGGCCTAGGATTCTCAACTCACAGCATGGCCTCCCTGAAAGGCAGCCTCACCCACCAGCACCCCAAGTCTTAGCAGTCCCTTGACTCTAATTTTTAATGTCTTGAGTGTGATAAACATCGTCTAGGAAGATTTCTGTTTTAATTATTCACTTAAGCCACCCTCCAAAATTCCTGCTAAAGCACCAATATGTAAACCACTTTTAGTCACAGGAAATAGTTCTCCTTTCTTTAATCCATGGCTTAAACCAACCAACCAACCACACACACACACACACACACACACACACACACAAAGTCCATGAGAAGAAATGAGAATTTTTTTTTTTTAACATTCTTGCTCTGTCACCCAGGTTGGAGTACAGTGGCACAATCATAGCTCACTGCAGCCTCAAACTCCTAGGCTTAAGCAATGCTCCCGTCTCAGCCTCCCGAGTAGGTGGGACTACAGGTGTGTGCCACCACACTTGGCTAATTGTTGGTTTGTTCTGTTTTTGTAGAGACAGGATCTTGCTCTGTTGCCCAGGCTGGTCTCGAACTCCTGGGCTCAAGTGATCCTCCTGCCTCCTCAGCCTCCTAAAGTGCTGGAATTACAGGCATGAGCCACTGTCCCTGGCTGCGAATTCATTTTTTCCCTCAGTAGAATCCCTCCCAGTCTGTGTAAGTGGCTGATTCTCCTGCAAGGAGGAAGTCACCATCTGGATTCATCAGTCAGTGCCTGAGGCTGGCGTCCTTCCTTATCTCTGCAAGTCACCTCACTATGACATTTAAGATTGTCTATTCCAAAAGCACTCATCCTGCTGACGAGATGCAACTTCTGAAGACAGCACCTGCGGAGCGTGGAATTCCTCTGCACTGCAGTCTAGCTCTCGGAGCCAGCTTCCTTCTGTCCAGCCCCGGGACTCGGGAGTCAGATTGCCTGGATCCTCAAGGAATGCCTCCATTGCTACAAGGAGCCCATGGGCCTCTGCCTTATCACTGAAAATATGGGGGAAATAATAGTGCCCTTTTCACAGCATTGTTTAATGACACGGTGCATATAAACAGAATGAACTTAAACATTATCATCCAGGCTAAGGCACCTGTGAGCATGAAAGGGTGTATGTTCATCCCCACACTGGGCAAGACACACTCCAGCACTGCCCAAGCTCACCAGCACGCACTGCCTGCCTGCTTACTGCAGCCTTAGCACAGAGCTTAGCAAGTGTAGCTGCTTAGGGCTAATGACAGGAGAGGCCAAACAATAATATCAACAAATGCACTCTTACGAATGCCTGCCATACAGCAAATGCTCCATAATTATGCATTACTGTTCTATCATCCTGTTCCCATCTCAACCTCCAAAAGCCTTTGATGTAAAATAAAATGAACAGTCTCCACTGCCTCACAGATGGAATTAAAGCTAAATACAAAACTAGAAGCCCTAAAGTCACAACCTCAGGTGGCTGGGTTTCCGGGTCAGTGGGCCAGACCAACAGCAGTTTCAGCACACTGCCGGAACTCAGAGCCTCAGGTGTTTAGGTATTCATTCCAGGCCAGGAGGAGGCATGGCTCCTGGAAGCAGGCACTAAGCCTGTCATCTCCATTCAGTATCGTTTCTCAGATTCTCAGACTGAAATCTTTAGGCAATTGCATGCCATCCTCCATGGGCACAGTCACCCTTATACAGAGAGATCAACTTGCTGCTCAGAGATACACAGCTGATCAGGGAATACAAAACTTTGCTATCACTCCGAAGTCCAGGAAACAGAGCGGACAATGCCTGGAAATTCTGCACTGCACGGCCATGAGCAAAAAGAGTTGGCATACCCTCATGCACTGTGTCACCAAGTGGTTAATATGCAACTATTGCACAAGACCTGCTTCTAAGAAGTCAAGTCCGAAGACCGGACTAAAGAAATGAATCATCTTTACCGAATTACTACAATCACTATGGAGGCCCAGAAATGTTGAGTAAAGGTGAGTGGGAAGAGGCTGGAGAGATGAAAGTGTGCATGCTGACTGGCAGATACAGCGCTGGATCTGGCATCAGACAGGACTGGTCTGTCCCCACCACTTCCTAGTTGTCCATCTTGAACAAGTCTTTTGACTTCTCTCTGGGTGCCTGTGCCCCAGTTTGTATAATGGATATAATCATGCTTATGAGCCAACAGGACATGAACCTTGATGGAGAATGCAAACACAGGTGCTCACGTTCTCTGAAGCCCCACAGTGAGACAGCACCGACAGACGCCCTCACTTTCGAATGCTGACATTTATGCAACTCCCACCTCATCCGTGCTGACCACTGCGAGGAAGAAGGTGGGACACAGAGACTCTATGTTCCCACAGGAGCTTACACAAGAGCAACACGGTTCACTGAACCGCAGGGACCATCAACTCTAGGGAGCACCATTAATTTTGTGTGCCACTCAGGAAGAAAAACACGATCAATGAAACCCTGAAACACCATCCATGGAAGATGCATCCTGATTTCAGACATGTTAAAACATGAGAGGCGGGGGAAATGTGCATTGTAGAATCAATGATATGGTGCGACAAGAGCCCCCAGTGGGCCCCAGAGCTCGGCTCTGGTCCTGACCAAACAATGTCTAAAACCAGCTTGAGTCCACAGAGCAGTGGGTGTTCAGTTTGGCTGCTCTTCAATAACCCTGGGAACCTGTTTGCATTTCAGACTCCCTGTCCCTCCTGGAGAATGATTCAGTTGCTCTGAAAGGAGGTCTGAGCACCTCTCTAACACATCCTGTCTGTGCCAGCTGGGAAAAGGAAGGCTGGCTAAATAGCAGAATGGATCTAACAGCACAGCAGCTTCCCTTCCACACCCCCAGCCTCTGGCATCAGTACGCTCCTTACAGGAAGGGCCCCAAACAGAGCCGAAGGTGTGGTCTGAATCCACAGCGCCACTGTGGCCCTCCTGCCTACATTCCATTTCTGCTGTTTCTCTGACACTTTCCCCCACTCTGATTCATTTTCCGAGTATGCAGTTGCAAAACCTACGCTTAGAACGGGGGGACTGCAAGCGTCCTGTGTGGCATTTCCCTAAGTCAGCTGTGACTCAGCCTGGCAAGGGCCCAGGTGCCTTCAGAGTGGCTTCCTGCAAAGACCAGTAATGACGGGCCAGCCGCTGCACTCAGGCACATGAGCCAGCACCTCTGCGACTGAGATCCAGGGAAGGAACGGGATCGCCCTCCTACCTCCCAGCACTGCAAATGTCATTTACATTTTGAAGCCACTGGGGACATGGGTGGAACTCTGTGAGCTGGTGAATTACGCATTCCAGGATTTCTGAAGCCTATTAAGAAAGGAGAGCCAGGGTGGGCGGCCATCACGAAGCAGCTCCAACCACCTGTTTCCCTCCTCCCGCATTTCCCCCACCCAGCACATCACATTTATTTTATGACTCGGTGCATCCAACAAGGCACGGCTTTTAAAGCTTCCCATTTCTGATGCTACAGAGCCAGGAAACCAGGAATCAAGATTATCAGGCTAAAATACAGCCGCCTCTCTTTGAGGCCCACCAGCTGGTTCTGAGAACCTACTGCACCACCATGGAAAAGGGATTCCCTAGCCTTCTCTACCCAAATACCCCAGAAGATAAGATTTCAGCTTTTTAAGATAGTGGTTCCATTAACCTTTGGAGAAAGGAGGAGAGACCCTGTTCGGGGAGCTCTATGCCAAATAAAGACAGAGCCAACCTCCCTGCCTCCCTCGGCCCCCCACCACCCCAGAACCTACTGACCCTTGCAGAGCCAGCCTGCTGACTCCTTTGGAGAGAACCATAAGAGAAGCTTCAGGACGCTCAGGAGTTAGAGGGAAAATGAAGCCATTTACCAAACAGAAGCACATGACTGCCTCGCACTCAGTAAGCACAAGCTGAATCAATTAGTTAATTAAACCTGATACGGGGCTCTGTGGGGTTAAGATCTTACACCCTGAGTAAGGAACACTGCTGAAGAAGGAAACAGTCGCTCTGGGAGATGCTGCTACCAAAATCAGTGGAAGGTCAGGTAGGAGCAGCTCTCACGGAGTAAATGACTAGGAGAAGGGGAGGAATGAATAACAATCCATTACCTAATAAGGGGTTTGTCTAAACCAGCTAACTTGTTTCAGAATTGAGGCCAAAATCAGGGTTAGCTGCAACAGTGCCTACATGATAATTATGTGCTTTTTTTTTTTCCTTTTGGCTTTGTGTGTGTGGTTTTGGAGGGATGGGTTCTTTCATTTTCTGTTTTTGTGTGCCACCTACTTGTCTCCTTAGAACCACAGACAAAATCCTGCAAGAATCTCTTTCCTGGGAGCAGAACTCATGCCCTGGTGAGCCCCACAGACACAGACTGCCTCTGCAGCCTGGTGGCATCTGCCCCAGAACCAACCAGAAAAAAAGGTGACTTACATTTCTTTCCAACCACCAAGGCTGAAGATGGAAATCTGTTCACAGTTGCAGATGTTGGCTGGGGAGAAAAGGGGGGCTGCTGCAGGAAGGCATCTGGGTGCTCAACACTGTGGCTAATTATTGCTGAATAAAAAATAATCATCTTTGCATGACTGTAGCAAGGTTGCTCATGGATACAAAGTATATTAAGGTGAAGACAGTAAACACCACACTAAAGGTCTCATGATGTGCAAACTGAGATTCCATGAACGTTACTAAAATCTATTACGGGGATTTTGGACTGACTCCTTGAAATCCAGGGAACAATTATTAAAACATGAAAGGACCACAACTGTCTATTTCTGCAGATAGCTCCTTCTAGCAACTGTTTTCCTGGACTGCCTCACCTAGGAGGTAACAGAGGCTCTTTACAATTCCTCCAAATGCAAATTTGATAGAGTTATAGGAGTCTCTTACTGCACAGTGCTGTGTTCTAAACACGATCTCAGCAAGGCCAATGGACCTCGGGCTTAACCTCAATATGAGCCTCAGTGAGTAAAATGTCACTACTGGTCACATGCAGAGTCATCAAACAACACTCTCGTCCATGCTACCTTCTGAGTATTCTCCAGTCTTCACCCATGGCCCCGCCTCTCCACTGCCCCTGCAAAGAAAAAGTCCTCCATCCTTGCCCTGCCACAACTACTGGACATCTTCAACCTTTCCACCACCCAAGACTCTGTTATTTACCCCACAGAATCTGTTTCCATCAATGGCTATGAAAAAACAGAGAGTGATTTAATCTGTTCGCTTTTTTTTTAAGGCCATCAACTGTCCTGAGTCATCACACTAAGTGTCTGTCATTCTAATTGGATGCAGAGGTGTTTTTACAATAAGCCTGGGCAGCTTTATGTCAAATCAATGAACAATTTCCAACCACCATTTGTAAACAATAATAAATCAAGGACTCTCGAAACGGAACCCCCAAGGTATAAACGTTCCCCTACAGAAGCCCATCTGCTGCAAGCTCTTCCAGAAAATAAACCTGGAATTCTAAAACCTAAAAAAGGAAATGATCCATTTGGGCTTACAATTTCAGAGACACAACTTCACTCTTGAAGACCAAAATTGCCACGTTTATTTTGATGCTGCCATTGCTGTCTCAAGCAGAAGCTCCCCTTATGTTGCTCTATTCCTGATTCACAGAATGAAAAACTGTACATTAGGCCAAGGGTTACTGAGCGCTCAGCATGCCGGGCCCTCGCAAGGCACTGGAGACTGCAGTGAACAAGACATACCTGCCCTCCTGGGGCTTCGTCTAAGCTCCCCTTTTCTGACTTTGAAAGGAAGCTTGTTTTTCAGGAGGGAAAAATCTTCTTCCAAGAGAACAGGCAAAGTTTTGAGCTTTGCATGCCCTTAAAACTTACTAGCACCTAAAATTAGCTTCTCTGATAGATGTGTCTTTGCACTTTACACAATGCAGAAGGCTCCCCAAGAAGGGCAAATTGTGCCCGCATCAACCAGTAAAACCATTCGGAAAACAAAGAGGAGAGCTAATTTTAGGAAGCAGCATTTTCAGTCCAACTACTTTTTGTGCTTCTGTCTGGCAAAGGGACAGAATAGAAGATAAGGAAACTGCCCCCACTAAATCTCTCCTACGGACTGTCCTTACTACACATCAATCCTCTCCCAGGCCAATTGCTCCAAATTACCAGAGGAGGAGGCCATCTTATACGTTTCATGATGAAAGAGAGGGCAATTCTCAGGAGGAACAAGAATAATTATACACAACAAAAGCAGGAACAGTAATCTGTCATAGATTTACAGAACACACAGTTCCACTTAAGATACATTTTTCCTCCATCACTCTTATGTTGTTTATTAAACATTTACTTTTGGCCCAGAGTTTGGCTGATCAGGACCTGAAAAGTTGTTAAAACACCACTGGGACTGTGTCAAGAATCTTTTAAATCATCTAAAAAAGGTATTTGTTTATCTGTCTTGACAAACTGAGAATGTACTCAGCAGGCTTAAGAATTTCAGTTCAACAAACACACCTTGGCACCTGAGGTGCTCAGGGGTGGGAAAACTGAGTGTGAAGAGACGGGCACACGAGTGACCAGAACACGGGGGCATCCGACAGGAGCTGGGCATAAGCTCCAGAGGCCCTGTCCCCTTGAAGGAAGAAAAGGACTGGCGGTGGGAGAAGATGCTTGTTTAACATTTATGGAAAAAGCCAGAATTACAATGAGGCACCCTTGCCATATGACACATTTAGGAGTATGTAGAATACACGCATCTATACAGGCATACACATATGTGTATGTGTATATCCAGTCATGCATCACTTAACAATGGAGATCTGGTCTAAGAAATGCATCATTATGCTATTTCTTGCTCGTGTGATCAGAGTGTACTTACACAAAACTAAATGGTACAGCCTTCTCCACACCTAGGCTAGATGGTACAGCCTACTGCTTCTAGGCTACAAACCTGTATAGCATGTGACTGTCCTGAATACTGTAGGTAACACAATGGTATTTGTTATCTAAAATAGAAAAGATACAGTAAAAATACAAGATTATAATCTTACGGGACCACTGTGATATATGCAGTCTACTGTTAACTGAAACGTCCTTATGACTGTATACGCATGTGTACATGTATATTTCCCATACACTTCCTAAATGTGTACTTTTGTTTATATGTACATGTACACATGCATATACACTTATATGTACATATACACACATCGACTTTGGAGTGAAGCAGCCCCGCATTTTCACTGCACTTCTCAAACTTAAAGCCTTTGTGATCTTGAGCAAGTTATTCGGTTCCCTGTGCCTACACATTTACAAAATCAGGTGAACACTACATACGCCTCACAGGATTATTTTAAGAATAAAAACGCCGGGTGCTGTGGCTCACGCCTGTAATCCCAGCACTTTGGGAGGCCGAGGCGGGCAGATCGCCTGAGGTGGCGAGTTCGAGACCAGCCTGACTAGCATGGTGAAACCCTGTCTCTACTAAAAATACAAAAATTAGCCGGGTGTGGTGGCAGGTGCCTGTAATCCCAGCTACTCGGGAAGCTGAGGCAGGAGAATCACTTGAACCCGGAGGCGGAGTTTGCAGTGAGCCGAGGTCGCGCCATTGCACTCCAGCCTGGGAGCCTGGGCAACAGAGCGAGACTCCATCTCAAAAAAAAAAAAAAAAAAAAAAAAAAGGAATAAAAAGATACCCTGGGCATCCCCCATCCTGCACATTACCAGGCAAAGAGCTGGTGCAGAACTGAGTGTCACCAATGTCCTATGGAGCCATTTGAGAAATATTAGCTCTATTTTAAAATTTAGAAAACATAGAGTGTTTAAGCAAGCTACCTGGAGTCACAGCAAATTAAAACCACTTCCAGGACTTGATCCCTTCATTTTTTAAACCATTCATTCAACGATCTATGGAACTCCTAGTCTGCACCACAGACTGTGTGAGAAGCTGGGAATATATCCTCAGATCAACACTGGCCCTTGCCCTAAAGGAGCCTAGGTCTTGGTTGGGAATAAAAAATGTCATTAACTATTCACAGGTGCTGTGCCCGCAACACCAAGCCCCAGATAAAACAGTTCCTTAGAGTCAGGAGGTCTCATAATCCTATAATGGAAACAAATTGGAAAGGAGGCTGTGGCACACTGCAGACATGGGGACAAGACTGGCCCTTCCTACAGGCATCAAGCCCACAGGAAGGACTGAGCCCTTTTGGGTTCAGCCAAGCTATCTGCAGAGACAGATGAGCCACTGGGCATGCCTGGTGGGCAGCACACCACTAGGAAGAAGGCAGACACCTCCCTTCCAGGAACCAAAGCCAAAATATGGCTAAATGGGCCACAGCAAACCTTCTGAGGGAACGCACCATTGCTAAAAGGCTTGTACTGACTTGGCCATGGCAATGGAGCATATGCTACCCTCAAACCAGGCTTCCCAGCTGGCATTTCTTGGGAATCACAGCTTGGGACAGGTGGAGAGCTTTGCTGAGGAGAGAAAACTCTCCAGGCAAAGCTATAGTGCTGTATGGTCTTGGTGGATTCATGAAACACCATTGGTGTATTCACATTTTTGAGAAACTTGCAGCAGAGAGTGTATTCAACTATGCTTACCCCCAGATTCCCCAAGACATCTGACCATGGCATGCTACTAACATCAGACACCCCCATCCCGGGACTCGGAAACTCTGGAATTGCAATCATAGAAATAGTGCAGCAGCCTGTGTAAGCAAATGGGTTTGACAAAAGGGACCAAATGGTGCCCTTAAGGAAAGCAAACCTGGGCAAGGCCATGACAATGCTTCAGGCCAACAGCAGGCACAGAGCACATGGAGCGTGATACCTACTTTGCAAAGCTGCTAACGTAGCAATGACTGGTGTAACAGAGGAGACTAGGGAGGGCCAACTCCTCAAGGAAGAACTTGAAAGTCCTTGGCTACATGAAGCTGACAGAACTCTGATCTCATCCTCTCATGTCGTGATTCCGCGCGATCGGGAACATCTAAAGGGGGGCACGTGACCAGCCCGCTCAATGCACAGCTCAACCTACATGTCACTTCCACTAGAATTTCTTGTCAATCACCCAGATTCATATAGGAATGAATTCCCCAGTGCCTCATAACACATCATGGTCAACTCCTGGCATACAGTCAGTGCTTGTGGAGGCTAAAGCAACTCCATCTTGGATGCTAATCTGCCACGTTGGCTTCTGATTAACCCCCTATCCAAGAAGGCCTCTAAGACTTCCCATTTATCTACTATTCCTGTGTAAGAGCAGGTGCTTACAGTAAATCCTGCCCTCAGATCAAACAACCTTGATGTTATCTTACTTCAATTGTCCTACGTATCCCTTTGGAACCACTCCTCCCTCCCCGCTATGGCATAGAAGCCCTGGGTCTGGGGGGTAATGGCGTGGGGCTCCCCCATCTCGTCTTACCGCTGCCCTAGACACAGATGCGGCTTCTGCTTGTAGGTCTCTATTAAATGTTTCTTTCTAAGAAACGGGATTTGTCAGGCTCTTCCTTCAGCCTCTCAGCTTCCTCGGACTTTGGGGTAGTTTGCATAGACCTGCCTTTCGCAAAACAGTGTTCAATATGTACATTCTGGAAATGGATATAGCAAATCTCTGCACTACACAATTCACATGCATGCATTCTAAAAAGAATGCTATCCCACAGTATAGAGCTCACACTACATACAAACAGAGTTGACCAAAAGGAGAAAAGAGAGAGAAAAGAGAAAGTCACTCCTGTTAGGGTGCCAGCATTCCACAGGAGTACAATGTTTCCTTCCACATTCATTCTAGAGAACCCACATGTTATTTAAGTATGTCTTCAAACCTCATAAACCCCATGAATGACCCCACATAATTCAAACCTGGGCTAAAAAGAGTGAGTGTAAAGTGCTTGAAGTTTCTGGAAGAACTAAGTTATGCCAAATCTCTACTTTAAATGTCTACCTACCCAGAATACAAGCAAGAAAGTTCAGAATGTATTCTGGTTCTATCGACAAACATTTACATTCTCTCTTTACAAAGGACATTCATACGTATTAACTCATTTTGATCCCTGAAACTAAAGCAGAAATAGCAGCATTATCTGTTGTATAGCGACCAAACCTAAAGACAGAATTTGTAAGTTGTCCCAAATTGCCAAGCAATTAAAAATATAATGTACATTTGGTGCGTGTTACCATAATTCTCCACTATTAAACGGTATTTAAAATTTTCCTGAGATATCAAGAATAAATGAAATTATGATGTGTCATTTGAATGTTAAAATGTGAGGAACAGCATTACTAGTCATGATATCCAGAAAGCGGAAACAACCCAAAAGTCAGCTGACAGATAAATGGATATACAAAATGTGCACATGTACATATTACTCAGCCTCCAAAATGGAATATTACTCAGCCTTCAAAAGGCAATTCCGACACACGCTCTAACAGGGATGAATCTTGAGGACATTATGTTAAGTGAAATGAGCCAGTCACAAAAGGACAAATACTGTATGATTCCACTAATAGAAGTATCTAGAGTAGTCAGATTCGGAGACAGAAAGTAGAATGGTGGTTGCCAGGAGCTGGGAGAGTGGGGAGTGGGAGTTGTGTTTAATGGGCACAGAGTCTCAGTTCTGCAAGTTGAAAGAGCTCCGTGGATGTACGGTGGACATGGCTGCACAATAATATGAATGTACTTAATACCACTTACCTGTACACTTAAAAATGGTTAAGTTGATAAATTAAAGATCATGAAAAAAATAAGGAAATATATTTGGCTCATTAAAAACTGGGAACCTCAGTATGATAAATATTCTATCTCCTGAGCAAACCGCTCAGTGTTTTAACAATCTGGATTGACAGTTTTATTAAAGGGTTTGGCGTGTAATGTTATGAGGGCACCGATGATACTGGGCCTGAATTCTGAAATGTCAAGCGACATTTCTCTTTTTTGTCACCGTGCACCCCCTCTTCACAGTTGTAGCTTTGGACAGTAACTTAGTATGATCCTGATGTTCTCCCAACAAATTTAATAAGGAGAGGGAATCATTGTGTTTGCTTCTAAACAAACCATTCAGACAGAAATGAAGGAATTACTCATTCTGCAGAATCTATTTACCATCTGTTGCTGAAGGGAAGTCTTTACTGAATGAGAGGCTGGGTTGGAGGACCTCTGAGTGAATTAAACCCTAAAAGAAAATGCACCTTCTAAGTTTCAAGTCACTTTGATTCTATGATTGTATGTATAATTCAGACCAAACTAATTCTATCTTTGAGAAGAGATACATAAAAGAATATTAAGAAGGTGCAACATTGGTGGTAGTTCCCAACCTGCTGCCCCCAGGCTGCCAAGGATGGGAGCAGGGAGGGAGGTTGGAAGAAATTAATTATGAATTGAGAAAGACTGATGGATTAACAACAAAAAAAAACTTTCAAACAGGATGATGGTGATGAAACACAAACCTTAAAGAAATCCTGGTGGGACAGAAAGAAGGGAGAGAGGGGAAAGGGGAAGGAAGGCGGGAGGGGAGAACGAGATGGACGAGGGAGACGCAGACACCTCTGGCCTCCTGCCCTCAGCCAGCATGCTCTAACCATGCCACCCCCATGACTCCCTTTGACGAGATATGCATATTAACATATATCACATTTAAATCACGTAAGCAAATGACTAAGCTGCAGTGATAAAGAATGCTTTAGTTGTAATTACCACAGATAAGCACATAATTAATATCTTTGGTTCAGTAACTAGAATCGTCTTAAAAGGAAAAATTGTCCACCATGGCTCAACCTCAGCTGGCAGGTGCTAGCAAGAGGACACCAAAATGCAGGCTGAGGTATGCGTCCTCTCAAAATCAAAAGGGCCCCCAGGTGAGCCTGGCCCGGCTGGGTTAGAAAAGTCCCTGCAGCAGGGCAAATCCCTGGCCCAGCAAATGGCTCACTCCCAGCAGCCAGGCCCACAGCCCTGGGTTCATGGGAAGCAGGAGTTCCGGGTGCCATTCCTGCACAAAAGCCCTCCCAAAACGTCATGGCTTAAACAAGTTCTTATGTCCCATGGTGAGACCACAGGTGCCTCGCGGCTGGGGCTCTCTCACCTGTCTGAGGCCTTGGCCTCTCCCTCCCTCCCCTCCAACATGTCTCACCCTCCAGGCAACCCCACACGGTTTCTTTCTCCAGCAGAGCAGCCTGGACGTCTTCTAGCATGGCAGTTGGGCCCCAGGGGACCCAGGTGGGGCTACCAGGCCCCTCAAGGACAGAGCCTGCACCACGCCCAGTGTCACATCCACAGCAGTCTACTGGTTCAAGTTTGACACCAGACTGACCAGATTCACGAGGCAGGGAGGTGAGAAGTACATGCCCTTGGCTGGAGACTGTCTACCACCACAGGACACTGGAGTCACCAACCCCTCTACAGCCAGCCAACCCAGAAAGACGTTCCACTTCGGAACTCTTCAAACCTCATCTGGAGAGTGGATCCCAATACTGGGGCTCGTCACAGAGCAGCACACTGGGATGCTAAGAGCAGGCCTGGCTGAGGAGCCCGCAGGGGTGGGTCTGAATTCCCACTTCACCACTTCTACATGTGAGACTGCCGGCAACTCAACCTCTCTCCCTGACAGCTTCATCTGTAAAATGGGGATAATAAAAACGCCTCATGGAGTTTCTATAACGGATAGGTGAATTCACCCATAAAAGTGCGTGAAAGCAGGGGGTACATGGTCAGCATGTGGGGTTACTATTTTTACTCTGCTAGATGGGTCACCCTGAAGTCCACCCAAGCCACAGAAAGGACAGTGTCACAGCCCCGCGGGTCTGCTGCCACTGCCCACATTCTGCACTAGCTCTCCCTGCTTGTTGGGGTCAGGGTCGACACTCTCCCTGATTGCAGCTACTCTGTCTTAACCAACACAACCAGAGACAGAAAGGAACCGTATGAGGACCAGCAGACTCGGAGCAGAAGGGCCAGTTTGTAACAGCAGTGACAGTCCTGTGACCGTGAACTACGACATCATCGCGGCCCGTGCTTAGAGGTCCACTTGCATCATCTCCAATTAATCCTCACCCTCAGTAGGAGCTACGGCACATCTAACACAGGGAAGGCGAGGTATCGGAATCCGCTTCCTGTCTCTACGTGGGGAGATCATCCTCTTTGCAGACGTGTGGGAAGGATTAGGCAAAACAACACACAAGGGACCTAAGAAGATTCAAGGTAAGTGCCCCCACAACCTCTCTGTTTTCTCCCTTCCCCAAACTGTCTGGCTCTGTTTCTCTTGTAATAGTTTTAATTCTACTACATACACCCTTTTTTAATATCAGCTGTCCAGATGTGTTGGGAAAGCATATGGTGTTTTTGTTTTTGTTTGAGACGGAGTTTCATTCTTGTTGCCCAGGCTGGAGTGCAGTGATGCAGTCTCAGCTCACTGCAACCTCCGCCTCCCGGGTTCAAGTGATTCTCCTGCCTCAGCCTCCCAAGTAGCTGGGATTACAGGTGCCTGCTACCACGCCTGGCTAATTTTTTTGTATTTTTAGTAGAGAGGGGGGTTTCACTATGTTGGCCAGGCTGGTCTCAAACTCCTGAGCTCAGGTAATCCACCCGCCTCCCACCCGCCTCGACCTCCCAAAGTGCTGGGATTACAGGCATGAGCTGCCACCCCGGCCGAAAGCATATGTTCTTAAATATATAAAAATAAGGCCAGGCATGGTGGCTCATGCCTGTAATCCCAGCATTTTAAGAGGCCAAGGTGGGAGGATCACTTGAAGCCAGGAGTTTGACACCACCCTGAGCAACATAGCAAAACCCAATCTCTACCAAAAAAAAAAAAAAAAAAAAAAAAAAATTAGCCAGCATGGTGGCACACACCTGTATTCTTAGCTACTCAGGATGCTGAGGCAGGAGGATTGCTTGAGCCCAGGAGATCGAGGTTGCAGTGATGTTTGTGCCACTGCATTCCAGCCTGGGCAACAGAGCGAGACCCTATCTCAAACACACACACACAGGTGGACGAAACAGTATTATTACCCTCATTTAAGAAGGGATGAAGCTAAGGCTTAGAGAGATTAAGTACTGTCATGTGTTGCTTAATGACAGGGATACCTTCTGAGAAATGTGCCCTTAGGTGATTTCATTATTGTGGCAACATGATAGCATGCACTTACACAAAACGAGGTGGTATAGCCTACTACACACCTAGGCTGCAAACCTGGACTGCTTGTTACTGTACTGAATACTGTATGCAACTATAACATAATAGTATTTGTGTATCTAAACACAGAGGTACAGTAAAAATACAGTATATAATCTTATGAGACCACCATTGGGTATTCGATCTGTCATTGGCTAAAATGTCATCATGCTGAGCTTGACCGTACCTTGCCCACATGTGCAAGGCCAGTAAACGGCCCAGGGTGGATTCACAGCACTTATGAAAACCTTCCCCGTAACAACCACTCTGTGCTGCCTCCCAGGAGTGAAGCAGCAGGAAGCCCAGGGAACACAGCCCGCAGCCGATCTAGTTTTACCCTTGGCCAGGTCAGGACTGCAGAAAGCTAGCTACAGTCCATCGTTTTCTCCTAGAATTGCCTTTACACAACTGTGATCTAATGCTCCTCCTTCTGCTTCAGGTTTGATTTAAATAAACGGCCACGTGTGCATCTCTGCTTTTGGTTTCTGTTATTTCTCCCCCTGACGGACACTATTATCATGTTCAGTGCCCTTTAAGTTAATATCCACTAGATTCTTATCAAGCTTGAAGGCTAAGAAAATGTTTCTCTCTCTCAAGAAAATGTTTCATTGTATTATCAAATGAGAACTATGCAACCCAACATGCTTCCTTTCTTGCTTTGGCTACCAAGATACAATTGCACGTTCAACTGAAGGAGCTCCCCTTGGCTTAGTGTCAGTAGACGTAAGCTGAAATGTATAGGGGGACTAGAGCACAATCGGCCAGCACTTTGGGTTTCAGGTTCTTGACCTATAGATGGGGGTAACATACCTGCCACGCAGGATTATGCTGAGCATTAAACTAAACACAGATGGCAAACACCTAGCCAGGATCCGGCTCCATGGGGGTGGGTGTTCAGTGTTAATTCTCCTTCATTCTTTAATTCTCCATCCACTTCTTTTTTCCTTCACCTTTTTATCCCTCATCCCCTCTACCCCCTAAATTTGACCCCAGATTTTTAAACTCTTATTTTAATGAATCTGTGCTTACACATAATATACTTTCTCTTATAAGCGGCCTCGAATCTTTTTAGAGATATATGTTGCTTAAACACGTAATAGCCATGCTCTACAAGTTAAAGGAATACTGAATAATGGACACAGAATTTAGAGATAAGGTTTAGAAATGTCACCCTTGGCCAGGTGCGGTGGCTCACACCTGTAATCCCAGCACTTTGGGAGGCCGAGGCAGGCAGATCACCTGAGGTCAGGAGTTCGAGATCAGCCTGGCCAACATGGTGAAACCCCATCTCTACTAAAAATACAAAAACTAGCCAGGCTTGGTGGCGCGTGCCTGTAATCCCAGCTACTTAGGAGGCTGAGGCAGAAGAATCATTTGAACCCGGGAGGCAGAGGTTGCAGTGAGGTCATGCAAGACCCCAGCTCAAAAAAAAAAACCAAAAACAAAAGAATTGTCACCCTCTACTATAAAGCCAAAAGAGCCAACAAAATGAATGACATTAGCCATCTGTGGTGATCTTTCCAGGAAAGAACTCAAGTCTGATGATTTAGAAAGTAGCTAATGAGAGGAGTTATGTCTCAAATTACATAGACGAGCCTAACGAAAATCAGAAAGATCAGTGCAAAAAAAAAAAAAAAAAAAACTAAAGGAATATAAGGTGAACTGTAATCCAATTAAATATAATACGTCTATCTCATGAAATCATTTTGCTGACTGATTACTAAAGAATGTTGAAAGTCAGATGTATTAGTCAGGATCCAATTAGAACGCAGAAACTACATAAGCTTTTTGAACAGAAGGGCTTTAATATAAATTGTTAACTGGGTAGAAAGTCAGTAACCAGGTAACTGGGTAGAAAAAGGAAAATTCTAGATATCAGGGAAGTAGCAACGACAGGAAGCAGCCACCACCCCTAGGCCTGAGGGAACCGGTTAGACTTAACCTTAGAAGCGTAGCCAAAGGGCCCTGAGGTAGAGACTTCCTTGGAGGAGTGGTGGGATCTGCAGGGAGTGTGGACGATGAGGCTGGCTGGCCAGTGCTGGGATAACTGAAGACTGAATTCAACAGCTACAGCTGGGGCAACAGGAAGCCAACAGGAAGGACCAAAGCCCCATCTTGCTGGTGCTTCTACCGCCTCCTGCTGATGGAGGTGGCCCGGAAGCCACTGGCAAAGCAGCTGGGATGTGCGGTCCTAGCTCCAACACTGCAGAACAGAGCACAGAGTCTGGAGCTGAAACAATAATTTCATAAATTACATGTTGGGATTTTTGAAAAATCAATCTCCATCACTACCCTAAGGAGAGGGTATTGATTCTATACACAGAAAGATCCCCAGAACGAGAAGGCCGATGCATCAAGATTCCTCAGACAGATGGAAATAGGCCAATAGAAAAGGTGGCCGATAGAAAATAGATAGAAATAGGCCGATAGAAAAGGTTTGCTGAGGACCGGGCACAATGGCTCACACCTGTAATCCCAGCACTTTGGGAGGCCAAGGTGGCCGTATCACAAGGTCAGGAGATCAAGACCATCCTGGCCAACACGGTGAAACCCTGTCTCTACTAAAAAAAAAAAAAATACAAAAAATTAGTATGTGGTGACACACACCTGTAATCCCAGCTACTTGGGAGGCTGAGGCAGGAGAATAGATTGAACCCAGGAGGCGGAGGCTGCAGTGAGCTGAGATCGTGCCACTGTACTCCAGCCTGGGCAACAGAGATTCCGTCTCAAAAAAAAAAAGAAAGAAAGAAACAAACAAAAGAAAAGGTCTGCGGAGTACACACACCCCAGGAGTGCTGGCTTTCTCAGCGAGGCACAGTTCTCATCAATTAATGAACTGTCATTCTTAGCAGTATCTTACAATTCTGATGCATGTAAACCCCAATCCCCCATTGATAACTCCTAGATGGAACTAATAACATTGAGTTTCCAAACCTATAAAACCAAGAGTGATGCCTTAGACCCATGATCATTCTCTCTCTCAAAGCTAAGTCTGAGATAGCCCAAGGGTCTCTCTCTTACTTTAACTCATATTTAATTACCTGTGATTTACACACTAGAAAATAAGATCTTTTGAAGAAAATAATAAGCTTCAACTATTTCTGCAAACGTGTTACACATACACAACCGCACAGAAAAACACAGATAGAAACCTTCAACTTCTTCCTGGATCAACTTACCACATTCCTAAGTTCTGACCAGCTTATTTGCCAACAGAAAATTCGAGTCCAGGAACTTTGGGAACCTCAGAAGCACCAGCCCTCCCCACCCCTCCTTCCCTTCCCATTCTTCACCTCCACACACACAACCGTTATTTCTCCTAAGAGTTAACTACAGAGACAGCAGGACACCAGTTCTGGTAGCAGGTCCACCACCTTCACACGGCATTTGCAGAGGCTGTGGAGGGGCAGCAGGCTCTGCTGTGTGCAATGCTTCATATCACCCACCCACCCCACTTCAGACTGGAAGACACGGTTATGTTTATTTTCCCCCAGAAGATAAGTGACTCACAGGCAGTTTGACAACAAATGTCAAGGTCCTTCAACCACAGAAAGTTCCCAGCATTTCCAATCAGTTGGGACATAATCCAGAAGAGGTTGCCTGGGATTATTTTTCCTTGGAAATTACATTCATTCTATCTTGGTGACAGACACCCACATATGGGGTCAAACTTTCCCTCATCCAAAAAAAAGATGATAATCAAAATCACAAGATACCACTTCATATCCATTAGGATGGCTACTATCAAACAACAGAAAATAACAAGTATTGGTGAGGATGTGGAGAAACTGGAACCCTTGTGTACAGTTGGTGGGAATGTAAAATTGGTGTAGTCACTGTGGAAAGCAGTATGGAGGTTCCTCAGTATATTAAAAAACAGAACTCCCATATGATCCAGCAGTTCCACCAGGTGTACTCCCAAAAGAATGAAAAGCAGGGTCTCGAAGGGAAATGTGCACACCTGTGTTCACAGTAGGATGAATAGCAAATGTGTTGCACGTGTTAGCAGCGTAATGTATAAACACAACGTTGTATGTCCATAGAATGAACTATTACCCAGCTTTAAAAAGAAAGGAAATCCTGTCACATGCTACATGGATAAACCTTGTAGGTATTATGCTAAGTGAAATAAGCCAATTCAAAAGGATAAATACTGAATGACTCCACTTACATGAGCTACCTAGAAGAGTCAAATTCACAGAGACAGAAGGTAGAACCCTGGCCGCCAGTGGCTGCAGGGAGGGAGAATGGAGAGTTACTGTTTTTTGGGTACAGAGTATCAGTTTTGCTAGATGAAAAGAGTTCTAAAGACGGATGGTGGTAACAATGTGAACACAATGTCACTGAACTGTTCACTTAGAAATGGTTATGGGCACTGCGGCTCACACCTGTAATCCCAGCACTTTGGGAGGCCGAGGTGGGCACATCACTTGAGGTCAAGACCAGCCTGGCCAACATGGCGAAACCCCATCTCCACTAAAAACACACACACACACACGCAAAAAACAGCCGGGCATGGTGGTGTGCACCTGTAGTCCCAGCTACTCAGGAGGCTAAGGCAGAAGAATCGCTTGAACCCGGGAGGCGGAGGTTGCTGTGAGGCGAGATCACACCATTGCACTCCATCCTGGGCCACAGAGCGACTCCATCTCAAAAAAAAAAAAAAAGAAAGAAAGAAATGGTTAAAATGGTCAGTTTTGTTATATGTATTTTACCATAATAAAAACTGTCGGGGGGGAAAGTTGATACATGCCACTACCTGAATGAACCTCAAAAACTATGGCAAGTGGAAGAACTCAGACACTAAAGGACACACAGTGCTTGAGTCAATTTATACGAAATATCTAGAATGGATAAATCCACAGACGCAGAAAGTACACTAGTGGTTGCCAGGGACTGGGGAGATGAGGAAATGGGGAACAACTGCTTAATGGGCATAGGGTTTCCATTTGGATGAAAATGTTTTAAAACTAGACAGAAGTGGCCGGGCGCGGTGGCTCACACCTGTAATCCCAGCACTTTGGAAGGCTGAGGCAGGTGGATCATGAGGTCAGGAGATCAAGAC
This sequence comes from Homo sapiens, assembly GCF_000001405.40. NCBI lineage: Eukaryota > Metazoa > Chordata > Mammalia > Primates > Hominidae > Homo > Homo sapiens. The sequence continues at coordinate 230,088,753 of NC_000001.11, read as the reverse complement.
CAGCCTGGCCAACACAATGAAACCCCGTCTGTACTAAAACTATGAAAAATTAGCCAGGCATGGTGGCAGGCCCCTATAGTCCCAGCCACTTGGGAGGCTGAGGCAGGAGAATGGGGTGAACCTGGGTAGCGGAGCTTGCACTGAGCCGAGATAGCGCCACTGCACTCCAGCCTGGGTGACAGAGCAAGACTCTGTCTCAAAGAAAAAAAAAAAAAAACTAGACAGAAGTGGTAGCTGTACAACTGTAGTAAATGTCACTGAACTGTATACTTTACAATGGCTAATTTTATGTTACATGAATTTCACCTCAATAAAAATGAATTAAAAAAAAAACCCTGTCACACAGAACAACAGAGATGAATCTTGAAGACATCATGCTAGTGAAAACAAGCCAATCAGAAAAGGACAAATATTACAAGATTCCACTTACATGAAGCACCTAGAGGTGTCAAGTGCACAGAGGCAGAAAGCAGAATGGTGGGTGCCAGGGGCTGGTGAGAATGGGAGTTACTGTTTAATGGATACAGAGTTCCAGATCTGCAAGATGACAAAGTTTCACAACAGGACTACACTTAACACTACAAAACTGTACACTTAAAAATGGTTAAGACAGTAAACTTTATGTTACATGGTTTTTACCCCAAAAATTGTTAAATAAAGCAAAAACATTGGGGGCGGGGGGAGATGCAAATATGGAAAAATAGAATCCAGGATTGCTCAACTACTGAATACCCCAGTCCACCCCCATATTCATTTAGCCAAGAGCCTGTAAGAAAACTTGTATTTTTCTTCTGTTCTAAACTGTCACTTAATATCTGCTGTTCATCGTTTTTATTATTCTCAGAGCTTCCAGAGTAAGTACTCATAGCTAAAAGCATCGTCCAGTAATCCAGTAGGCATTTCATTATATGCCCATCAATATTTAACTCTGAATATTAAAGCAAACACCCAAGTATTCCAAAAGAGAAGACCAAGCTCAAGCTCAGAGCCCTCAAAAAGTCCAAACAGATATTCAAGGGCTCCATGACCATCAGCAGTTACTCCCAAAAGATGGAGACTCTCAGCGACGCCTTCCTAACCAGCTGTCCCCAGACCTGACTGCGTGAGAGTCATTCACACATGGGGAGCTTTTTCTAAAACACACTTGGGCCCCACAGCCAGACATTCTGACTGAATCAGTCTAGGGTGGGTGATAGGCATCTACAGCTCAAAGTTTTCCCCAGGTGTTCCTAACGTACAGCCAGATTGAAAACCGCTGGTTAACAGTGCGGGCTGGCAGTTATGGGGGAGTAAAGGCAAGAAAGACAGATGGCAAGGAAAACCAATTAAGATGGGGGAAGTGGAGGACAGCAGAAGGATCTTAGGCTCCTGCAGTCCTTGAAATTTAATTTTACTGCAGTAATTCGAGTGCAATCAACAGGCATATTCCTTCACCCTGCACATATTTCATTTGTGAAATTCGGTAATTAGTACCGGTCATCAGATGAGGGAGCTCTTAAAATACAGAAACTAAGCATGCCCCAGCAGGCCAGGCCCCTTCCCTATGGGGAGAGTGTGCACTGGTTTGGAAAGGGCGGTGCCAGATGCTGGCTTAGAGCCCGCTGCATAAAGAAGGGGTAGAAGACAGCTCCCAGCCAGGACCTTCCCAGGTGAAATACCTCCCTCCCTGGGATGGAAGAAGACCCCTCCCACACACACTCTACTGAGCTCTTTCTCCCTACGTGCCTGGTGTGGGTTAAGTGCTCACCAGGCAACATCTTGTTGAACCCTTGTGACAGCTTCATGCAGTAAACCCTGTGATAAACTCCATCTCGTAGAGGAGTAACAGAGACATAGAAAGGTACTTGTCTAAGGGCACACAGGTAAGTGGCAGGGCTGACACCTGAGCCACTCCATGACTCCAAAGCTCAGCACTGCCCACACCAACTTTCTAGAGCACTCTTAGTGGTCCCCAATAGCACAAACAGCATGACGGACGCACCACTGAGTACAAAGGGCTGTGCCCCGAACACATGAATAACAAGTTATTAATTGCTCTAAGAGATCCAACCCAGGAGATTCAGGCTGCAGCAAAATCCTCATTTCTGCAAAAGTTATGTCCTGAGCAGGGGTGAGCCAAGGAGGAACAAAGAATGAAAAGGAAAATAAATTCCCTTAACACACGGGGGAAAAAAAAACTGCTCACTTTACAGCTGTTTTCCTCCTTTGCCAGTAAGAACATCCCCCTAAAAACTGTAAAATGGAGAAAGCATCAATCTCCAAAGAGTGAGCAATGCAGACAGTTCTCGCACAAGGGCCATCTCTTATCTTGCCCTCCCTCTATTCCCTTGACTTAGGCATTTTTCCTCACTCCAACTCCCTCCTTGCCCTACCTCACCAGATAAAGGGCCGGCAGAATGACCAGGAGGTGCTCTGCTGGGTCGTCAGGCTGAACTAACCACCTCTCAGCCCAGAGCTGAGCAACGTGCTGTATCCCTAGTCACCATCACCCACCCTTTCTAAACCCTTGCTGAAATGCCTCCAGATTCCAGCCCTCCAGGAGCTCGTATTATTCTCTACCTACAAACTCGCCAAATAATTGAGAGCAAAATTTTCTCAGTTTCACCTCTGGCACCCTAGGAATACCAAGACCTGGATTAAAATCTTGTCATTTGTTCTGTGAATTCCATGAAGGTGGACGGAAATCTCTCAGCACGTTTCTGGTGGAACCCGAGTTCGTTCCTTAACCAGGCAGGTCAGCAAGCAGTTTCCAATCACCTTAGGGGCACTGATAGAGCTGTGGACATACGGTGAGCCCACTCTTCTGGGCTCCAGGTATTGCCTCGGGTTTCCCCAACATTTCACAAACATAAATCCATCTCCGTCCCATCTGTCAAACATCCTTCACCCCCAACGTCTACACCAGAAGTCAGTGGCCTATCAAAACAGTTCTGTAAGTGGTTGGCTAAGGTATAGAGCATTAAAATAACCAGCCAGGAGGAGCTCCAGAAGATCCAAAATGCAATGAATAAGAGAACCTCAGATGCCTAATCCTGCATCTTGCCTAAACAGGTAGACTGCCCCGGACTTCAACCTAGACAATCACAAACATTACCGCCTACATTCAGAACCATTTTCCAGTGATGAACTGGATCATGCCAGACCCCTAATGAACTCCTACAGGGACGGCACCAGGTCCAAGAAGCTGAAGGAGACCCAGAGCCAGCAAATGAGACACAGGGGCTTACGAGTGGGAAACCTGTACACAGGGATGGCCCAGTGGCAGTGGACTGGGCAGGAAAACTGCAACTGCTTGAAGCCTGTGGTTTATAAATAGAGTTTCCACCTAGCATCCTCTAACAGCCTCCACGGGGCAACCTTCATTTAACCCAAAACAAAGGGCCTCGCTCATCTGTATGCCCAGTGTTCCACGGGACAGGATAGGGGCTCAGATGTTCCTCATAAACAAGGAATGAATCTCCAGGTTGGCCACTCCCGGATTCCTTAGCTCAAAACTCCAAACACACATTCAGGTGTGTCTGCCCCACAGGGTCACTGTCAGGGTATGCTTCAGTTTTGCCGTCAGGTATGTCTGCCATCCGCAGTGGTGAAAGGAGAGTTAATAATAAAAACTTTTGCTAAAGAGAGCCAGAAGAGAGGAGATTGCTTACAAACAACTGATCATTCTATTCCTCATCAGCTCTCTCCTGTACCTCAGCATCACTGCACAATCTTTCTCCACTTCTCGGAGATGAAATGGCACCTCCACCTTTAGGGCACAGGATTTAAGGGCTTAACTTACAAATACAGCTGGGGTCTGTTCAGCTGCAAGAGCAAGGCAGCATGTCTGGACGAAAAAGCAGACATTCTTGTCTCCCCTAATCCCATGTTCACCCTGCACCAGGGAGAAAAAGCCAGACTTGCACCCAGAAATGATGTCAACTCCCAAGCATGCTGCCAAACCACAGCATGTTACCAGTCAGAGACTCAGCACGCAGATCCCAGCAGAAAAGGGCAAAATGACTTGGTAGCCCATAGCTGAGTCACCCAGCAGGCAAACAGCTGAAGGAGAGTAGGAGGGAGCCAGGGGCCAGGGATGCCTTGAACCTGTGAGGCATGGTCCCCCATGTGGCAGACCCTCCACAACCCTGGCTCTCAGCCATTCTCCCCCGAGCCCACCAGTCTCAGCCTCATCTCCCTCACCTAGCAACGTCTCGGTGCTGAGCCAGACACAGGAAGTGCCAGGGCAGACAAAATCAGATCCTAAATGCTCACCATCCCCCGGCTGTCTCTCTGACCTCACGTCCCATTCACCAGCTTGCCCTCCTCCTTTGGTTGCCCAGACATGCCAAGTTCATTCTGGCCCCAGGATCTCTGCACAGGATCTTCTCCAAGCCCAGACAGCCTTCTGCCACACTGGATCATTCTGGTCAACAGGCCTCGCCCACAGGTCCCCTCCTCGGCCCTTCCTGATGAGGACTCACCTCTCATGGAGCCCCACTTCACACTCTGATATTGGCGTGACCGTCCCCCAGCCTGCCCTCCTTCCAGAATATACATCCCTGGGCCCATGTTAGCCTGGCTCCCCACTGTCTCCCTGCTGTGGGAGGGGCCAAGCCTGTGCTGGCCTCAAGACACTCACAGTCCACTGGGACGCAGGGGATCAAATTAAAAATTACACAGAGGCTCCAGGCAAATCAGGGAAATCTCGGGTGTCCAAAGTGACATACAAAGGGGGAGGGCTGCTGGAAGTGCAGACCCTCACCTTCACAGGCATGTACGCCAACATCCGGGTGCTGATGGAGATGAGCTCAGGCCTGTCCACGGCTCCAGCTCCTCCATGTGCAGCAGGCACCATTTCCTTCAGCTTGCATGCAGGTCCAAGGACACAGACAGTGGGCCCCCTCCGGCCCCCTTCTATTGGAAGGGCTAACAGAGGCCCACCAGGATTTCCAACCCTTTCTTACAGAGTTTTACTTGGTCCTGAACAATCCAGATACTCCAAGTAAAAACAGAGTAACCCCCACTGTCATTCCTCTGAAGAAACTAAATGCTCAGTGCTGACCATCTCCTTACTCTCCGGACACCGTTTAACAGCAAGGACAGCTTTCTGAAGGAAAGATCAATGCCTTAAAATGAGGATTCTAAATTTTCAAACATTTTAACATAATGCAAGCATCAGGGGGCTGCAGGTGACCTTTCAAAGTTGTTTCTCAGATCATTTCCTCTGTTCTATCAGTCTGGCTTCTTGTTCCATCATTGGGCCCCCCAGCTCCATCATCCCAGCCCCCTGCTCCATCATCCCAACTGTCTGCTCCAACATCCCAGCTCCCTGCTCCATCATCTTGGCTCCCCGCTCCATCATCCCGCTCCCTGCTCCATCATCCCACTCCCTGCTCCGTCATCCCAGCTGCCTGCTCCCTCATCCCGGCTCCCCTGCTCCATCATCCTCGCTCCCCACTCCATCATCCTGGCTGCCTGCTCCAACATCTGGGCTCCCCACTCCATCATCCTGGCTGCCTGCTCCATCATCCCAGCTCCCCGCTCCATCATCCTGGCCCCCCCGCTCCATCATCCTGGCTCCCTGCTCCATCATCCTGCTCCCCACTCTGTCATCCCAGCTGCCAGCTCCATCATCTAGGCTCCCTGCTCCATCATCCTGGCTCCCTGCTCCATCATCCCGGCTTCCCTGCTCCATCATCCCGGCTTCCCTGCTCCATCATCCCAGCTTCCCTCCTCCATCATCCCAACTGCCGTGCTCTATCATTCCAGCTCCCTGCTGTTTCATCCCAGCTGCCCTGCTCCATCATCCCAGCTGCTCTGCTCCATCATCCCAGCTCCCGGCTCCATCATCCCAGCTCCCTGTCCATCATCCTGGCTGCTTGTTCCATCATCCTGGCTCCATGCTCCATTATCCAGTCGTCCTGCTCCATCCACAGCTGTCCTTATCCTGCTCTATCATCCTGGATCCCCTATTCTCTCTGCAAGTTCCCCTGATGTATCAGCCTGGATCCCCTGCTCTATCATCCCAGCTGTCTAACTAGCACTCCAGTGCGTATGTTCCATGCATATGACTTCCTATGAGCAGGGGCAATGCCTAGGTTTCTAGGCTTTGTCCACAATTTATATGTGTGCCTCCCTCTCCTGGCAGCCACTACACTCCCTTCCCGAAATAAATAAATGATACAGAAGTGATAAAAGGTACTCTCCTCTGGCTCAGCACTGAGGAAGTAGGGATAAGGAGAGTCGGCTGCAGGAGGAATGGCACATTGGAGATCTCTCCAAGGTAGGCCAACTCCAGAGGCCCTAGGAAGAGATGACCAGCCTGAATGGCTGTGGAACTGCAAAGGCAAGGCAGGGCTTAAAGCCAGACACCTATGAAATCACCAACCCATCAGCTCACTCAATCATGTCCATTAATCCATTAAGCCTGCTTTGTTCTACGGTGCCCCTGGAAACTTACACAGCACTTTGACCGATTAGAGAACCTTAAAAATGTAACCCAAATGTGACACCTGCTTCATTCAGCACCACAGCTTCACCTTACACAAAGAAACAGAGACCTTCCCAGATTGAAGGCAACTCCACATTGCCCAAAGGAGGGACACGGACTAGAGAAGAAGGATGGAAAAGCCTGCCTCACCAGGTGCCTCTGCACCCCGACTGACACTCCTAGTCCAAAAATTCACACCTGATGTCACCACTGACCTGCAGGTCTGCTCTAAGCAAGACCCGTCCTGGGTCAGAGAAGTCAAGCCAGACCAGCCCCAGAAGTACCTGCAGGAAGGGAGAGCAAGCACAAATAAACGTCCTCACTAAGCTCGTCAGCATCATCTTCATCAACTCACTAACTCTCTTTTCCAGACAAGGAAACGCAAGCCAATGTCCCACAGCTACTCCGTAGTAACAGCAGGATCTGAACCAGGTCTAACATGACAGGCCAGGCTCCCAACCACTGTGCCATCCTTCCTCGTCATGGTTAGCATGACCAAACGTGGGTTTTCACACAGGTCATTCCTCCTTAAAATCATCACAGAGTGTATCTATTGATCTGCAATCCAGTTGTGAGTTGTCTTAATTAGAGCCATCAGCAAAGCCACGTGAGCACTTTTCTAATTGACAGAACTAGTCCTCAGCCCTCACAGGGGGGCTTTGTTGCATTGCCACAATTATTAATTTGTCTTCCACTTGTCACTCATCTGCAGTTTCAAAAGCAAGCCAGAAACTGAACTAATGAAAGAACATTTCCTAATTAAAACCTTGCAGAAAAGTTTTCAAATTAACACGCTATATTCAGATAGTAACAGCTCAAGATGTTGAAAAATCCAATTGCCAATAAGAGTATTAAAAAATTAAACAGCACGCACTTAAAACCATATCTCGGTATAATTTTTCAAAGACAAGCTGGAAAAGATTAAGGGTGGAATTGGGAAATAATCTCCTGGCCACTGAACACTGGATGGGGAAAGGGTTCTGGCCTGAAGCTACCTGCAGAACCCCAGGGGCCACTCGGTCCTCACACCAGCTGGGGGGGACCCTGACCAGCTTCCTCATGCTGTCTGGGGCTCAGATTCCCCACCCAAGGAAGAAGCAAAGGGCTGCAGGAGCCCCTTCATCCTCACACTCCTTCCAAAACAACCCACCTACCTAGGAATGACAGTTTCAGGCATGGTCTGCGGAGGCTGGAGGCGCTTTCGAGGAAAGTAGGTTGGTTCACTTCAAACCTGGCAGAGGAGGCTGGCTCTGGCTGGGGAACAGGAGCCTCTGGGCTCGTGAATGCCTGCGACGTGTCACATGTGATGTGAGAGCACACTGATGCAGCTTCCCCAAGAACCCGTGTCAACACCTCCCCGCCTTCAAAGTGACAGTTGACATTAGCAACAGCAGTTAACACTTTTAAGCACTTACTATGTATGTACCAGGCACCATTCTGAGCATTTTACATAAACTAATTTATTCATCATTGAACAACCTGATGATAGGTGAATGGGGAAACTGAGGCACTGAAGGGTTAAGTGACTTGCCTGAGGCCACAGAGCTAACTGGATAAGCCAGAATGCACACCCAGAGTCTGCTCCGGAGCCCAGGCCAGTGGCCCCTGTGCTATGCATCCTCTCTGCCATGTCACAGCAGCCCCAGAAAGACACCCAGAGCTAGCTGTCCACCAAGAGCTCCCATGCACAAGCCTCCTGGGCTTCTGCTGTCAAACGAGGCTAGGGCCAGAAACAGGCAAAACTGTTTCCAAAGCCCCCAGTATGGATTTACAGAGTCACCCTGGCAACCTGCTGATGCTAGACCTTCCCGCTGGCACCAGGACCTAAATGGCAAGTGGTCAGAGCACCACTGCTTGGGACATCACACTGCTTCATGCACGGGGCCTGATGTCAAGGCCTGCTCCCTGGGTCAACAGGACTCGAATTTCTGCAGAAAGCTCCGACTCTGAACACACATCAGTCCTCCACCGAGGCCTCCCCTTCTCCACAGTAACCTAAAATAAAAACTTACATAGCTGATGAGAGCTTCGCTTCCAAACAACTATGGCACATTTGATAATGATGTCGGCGCTTTGCAACACTGGAATAAAAAAATTAGATCACCAAAAATATCCTTCCAGGGCCAGTACAAGGAAAATGACTCCACACACTCTCCACTGCCAGTTAGGGAGAAAAATCCTCTAAACTAAAACCTATGTCTTAAGTACAAACACTACTGCAATTATGACATATGCCAAGTCACATTTATTACCAGGAAGAGGGGAAACTTTACCTCTATCCCTTTTCTTTCTAAAACAAAGGACGCCAAATTCACATCTTCCTAGGCAAATGCTTAGTGACCCAGATTACTTCTTGACCCATAAGAATGTGTGAGCTCCTAAGTTACTGAAGTGCAGATGGAGGCTGAGCCTCAGCAACCCTCTCCATAGGGACATTCCTCATGAGCCCGTCTGCCTCCATGAGCCCAATTATGAGGCCTGGACAGCCACAGTTATGTTCCTTTCATGACGGCCAGCCTCAGGCCTGGAGCTTAGACCATCCAAGAACCCAGACTTGAATTACATTCTCCTCCCGGCTCTCTGCTTCTCGATCATCCACATCAGCAGTTTCAATAAAGGGTTAGTAGATCACCAGCCCCAGTAATCAGCACCTTCCAAGCCTGAAGCTGCAGCTCTGCGTCAGCAAGAGGGAAACCTGCTATTTGTAACCTGATGTTTCACGAACTATAGCTTTACTAAGACCAGGACAGCCAGGGCTGACTTTCTCCAGAGCCGTACTTTAGGCAGGTGGAGGAACACTGAAATTCTAGTCCCAACTTTGCTACTGCATGACCCGTGGGGCAGGCTAGTAACCTGTGGGTCCATCAGAAACTGTGTGTGAATGTGGGAAGAAAAGCTGTTCTTTCTCCCCAGCTGTTCATTCTCCCAGGCATGCTGAAAAGCAAGACAAATGAGCAATGGCTCTAAAGCATTTCAGACATCTCAGAGACAAAGCTGACATAAATTTGAAGTACCAGGAATTATACCTTACAGAAGATACGCAGTATCATAATTTGCCAAAATCTCTTATTGACAAATACCACGTAAAATAGCCTTTAGCATCAATATCTTGTTGGGAGAACCAAAAGGACTAACACATATTTATTAACGGTCTCCCACTCAGCTTCCCAAGTCATCCACAGCTCCTGATGGATAGCTTATAACCACAAGCAAAGCTGCCTAGCATGAGTGAAAAATCTGGCAGAAAGACTGAACATAAAGAGGTGCCTGGCAAATGAGAAGGGTGTAGTCAAGATAATAAAACATCTGGCTGGACGCAGTGGCTCATGCCTGTTGTCCCAGCTACTTGGGAGGCTGAAGTGGAGAATCGCCTGAGCCCAGGAGTTTGAGGCTGCAGTGAGCTATGATCATGATCATGCCACTATACTCCAGCCTGGGTGATAGGGTGAGACCCTGACTCTAAAAATAAATAAATAAAATAAAATAAAACATCTACAGTGAACTCTGGTGGGTAACAGGGTCTTTGGTCCACCGGGCAGTCTGCTTAGGCAGAAATGACCTCACAGACCGCCTGAGCTCATCCTCTACCACCAGAAACTGCACCAGGATTAGCAATTTCCAAAGAATGTAGATACTCCTCACAGAAGAAACAGCAACCAATGTAAGAATGCTTCCCTGGTGATACAGGTACTAAGTCAGGATCTAACGTGATCTCTGATGCTCCCTATGAAAAGAATCACTGTGGAATATCCCAAACTACAGAAGAGCTGTGAGGCAGAAGCACCTCTGGACTAATACGATCACAAACCCTTTGAGCTGCTTTTTACAAAAATACTAGTTTTCAGCTGCTTCTTTAATTTATGCTGCATACATGAGTAAATATCTTTTTAAATTTTTTAAATGAACTTTTCAAAAGTACACAAAAATAAAACAGTAGAATGAACTCCATGAACCCACTGGTCAACTTCAACAGCACATCTGGCTTCTTCCATGATCCCCCCCCAAATACGACACATTGTATCCACAGTTTGTATTGTTCTTCAAAAAATAAGGATTTTTAATAATATAACCACTAATAAAGTAGGAATTGCCTTAATTGCAGATGTGCAACCCGCAGATATGAAGGCCCAACTGCAATGTGACACACGAGAAAAAGAAAGGCTGTAATTGGTCAATTCTAAGATGCCCTTTCCTCCACCACCCCCGACTGGAATGCAGCTCACAATCAATGACGTCGGCAATGCTATGGGCTGGGCAAGGCCCATGATGCATTCTTACCAGCCCATGCTCAATCATCCACATCTGCAGGACATATACGTCAATGGCTTAGAAGAAAATCCAAGAAACGACAATGAAGCAAGCACTCTTAATCCCTAAAAACCAAATCATGGTGGGATAGGAATGGATGGTGAATTGAGGAGTTAGGCAAAATTCCCAGAAGAGTCAAAGGCTGGCTACCTCGACTTCATTGCCAAGCTGTCTTCAAAGTCCAGAACCAATGGCTCTTAGTATTTTTATGGATTTTTTTCCTTAGGAAATGCTACATCACCAGCGCTTTTGGTGGCACAGTGGATGACTCTGTTTGAAGAAAATAGGCACTAACATCTGAGTCAAAAAGTGACTCAGAGTGCTTGGACTCTGAAAAACTTTTAGAACACTTTGCTCAATGTATTTCACTTGTATTTTCCTTTGTATCTATCTATGCCCGAGAGTGATATATGGAAAAATTGATGTCTCGGTCTGAAAGAGCTCTTTCAATAAGTAGAAAATAAGAATGCCAACTGATAAGAACCCGTTGTGTCACAGGTCAATGGACAGTGTTTTTTCTTTCCTAGTGGTCCACAAAATAATGGCATGTTTGACAAATAATGGCCTCTCGGAATTGATGAAAAAGTTGTATTCCAGACACAGGGGAAATTAGTGATGATCAAAAGTGAGACAGGAAGACAACTAAGTGAGCTCCCTGGCACAGGGGATGGGGCAGGACAAGGGCAGGAGGGGAAGGAGAGTGCGGCAGGGCAGGCCTTTTGAAGGTCACAGAGCAAAAGCTCAACATCTAGGTCAAGGGGAAAGCCCCAGAGGCAGCAAGGAGGAAACAATGAGACTGGGAGGCATCCCACACTGGGCCAACCCTCTCATCATCCAGGACAGCCATACAAATGCCCCTACCCAACAGTCATCTACACTTACCCAAATACTGATAACAGAGTACTTAATTCATGGGCATCTCCAAAACACAGGCCTTTAATTTGCACCGGCTCCTCAAGCTCTCACAGGGCAATTTAGCTAAGAAAGACCCTTCATTTGAAGTGCGTCATTTTTCTAGGGCAGCAGCCTGTCAGAAAGAAAAGAGTTCACTCCCTGGACTGGTCTCTGACGCAGAGAGGAAGAAACCTTGATGGCCACTCTTGAATGTGAAGGCCTCTCAAATTACCTGTTCTTTTTCCCGCCATGTAAATGCTCCAGTTGTTTTATCCAGAAGTACACTGGACGCACGGTGCCTAACCATCCCAATGGTTTTATGGGATTGGTACCTACCAATCCGATAAAATATCTAATGACCCTTCATAAATGAGAATGGCCTCTATGAAAAGCACCTGCATGCCCTCACCTTGAGAACCAGGACCAGCCACAACTTCCCACAGTTCCGCCTCCCTGAGATTGGCCATGAAGTCACATCTCCATTTTACTGTCCCCAAGTACAATACTATCTATCACAGAAGCTCAGTGTTACCCACATTGCCAAGAATAACCCCCCTCTCCAAAGCCTGGGTATCAGGCAGGCATCTGATCTCTGGTTTCCTGCAAATATGAATCAACAAACCCCACTCCCACCCGCAGCAACTCCCAAAGATCACATCACAGCGGAAATCCTGTGCTGGAAAAGGTGCACAGGGACCCAGGGGGATTTCTCGTTAAACAGCAATATGTGCAGAAAGCACTTTAAGAATGTGTACTGTTCTTCAATGGTGCACCTAACAATGAATGACTTACCCGATGCTTGGTGCTTCACAGAAGTCAGCTCAGGAATCAAGAAATGAGATTGTTCCACAAGCATATCCCACGAAGCTGATCAGCAAATTAAACTGCTGGAGCAGTCTAAATTAAAACTGCCTCGAGCAGCTGCAGGTCTGTAGTAAGGGAAGCGATTATGAGAGTACACACAACCTTTTAACCAGGATGCATTCATGCCTCATCGAGGAGACCAGAACAAGAACAGGTGACCAAGATGTCTACAGCATGGAGGGAAACTCCACCACTAGCCAACCAAAGGCAACATCCTTCGGGAAAGAAAACTGGCTCATTTGTTTAGCAAAAGAAACCAAGGAGTAGAGAGATCACCGAAAAAGAGGCTGGACGAAGATGAAACCAGGGGCTACCTCTGAAGCAGAGGGAACCACAATGGCTCCCTCTTAGTCTCAGCTCCAATCCTGCCTTCCCCATGAGCCTACGTGATCACCACTTTAATACTGCAACTATCCTTCCGCCCTCATCCCTAATCCCCATACACTGCTCTATTTTTTCCACAGCACACAGCACCTTTCTGCACACGACGTAACTGACTTCATGTCTACTGTCTGGCTCCCCGCAGCCCCCCACTAGAATGAAAGCTCCAAGACCACAAGGATTCCGTGTCTGCTACAACAACTGGTGTACTCCCAAACACTCAAGCAGTGCCTGGCACATAGGAGGGTCTCAAGAGATACTCACTGAAAGAATAAATGAAAAGAACCAGAGCCAGTTTTCATCTCTGCTCCTTCCGGAGGGGCAGCTGAGGATTGCGGCCTTCAGGACAGGCAGAGGCCTGGAGGGTAGGAACACAAATTCCATGGAGCAAAAGGTAAAAATGAAGAAAAGAGCAGCCGGGCACGGTGGCTCACGCCTGTAATCCCAGCACTTTGGGAGGCCGAGGTGGGTGGATCACTTGAGGTCAGGAGTTTGAGACCAGCCTGGGTGGTGAAACCCTGTCTCTATTAAAAATACAAAAATCAGCTGGGCATGGTGGTAGGTGCCTGTAATCCTAGCCACTCAGGAGGCTGAGGCACAAGAATCGCTTGAACCCGGGAGGCGGAGGTTGCAGTGAGCCGAGATTGTGCCACTGCACTCCAGCCTGGGCGACAGAGTGAGACTTTGTCTCAAAAAAAAAAAAAAAAAAAAAAGCAAAACAGACCAGCACTACTATCAAAGCATTATCAAGTGTGCATCTGCTCCAAGATGCCTTCCAGGAACTTTCCAAATGAGGCCGCAGTATGAGGGCACTGCCAATGCAAGGAAGGGGCATGGGAGGCCCAGGGAGCAGGAGCAAGCCAGGTTCACTGCTGGCTGGCAGAAACCCTCGGCCAGGAGTTGCAGAAAAACCCCACTGCCTCCAGAGGCCCTGAGGAGATCTCTTCCACCAGACAACCCTGGGTCTGCCACCTGTGAGCTCTGTGACCTTGGGAAAGTCACTTAACCTTTCTGTGCTTCAGTTTCATCAGTACACTAGAAGAAATAAAAGGGCTGAGATGAAATGCAGCCCTTTTATTTCTATGCACAGTGAGTGCCATGAAAGTGTTTATTAAATTTTGAAAATTAAAACGTATTAATATATTAGCCCTCCCCACAGTGGTTCACCCCAGACCACACAGAAAGGCAGTCTCATTACAAGAAGGTCTAACCATAATGGCTCAGACAGAAGGAATGAAATCAAAATTAACGGACTAAGGCAGTGGTTCTCTACCAAGGGCAATTCTGCCCACCTCCCACCCTCGCCAGGACACTTGGCAATGTCTGCACATTTTTGGTTGTTACAACTTGGAAGATCAGGGGTGGGAGAACTACTGGCATCTAGTGGGGAGAGGCTGGGGAAGCTGCTACACATCATACAATGCAGAGGACAGCCTTGCACAACAAAGAATGATCCAGCCCAGTGCAGTCGCTCACACCTGGAATCCCAATGCTTTGGGAGGCCAAGGCAGGAGGACCGCTTGAGCCCAGCCTGGGCAACATAGTGAAACCCTGTCCCTACAAAAAATTTAAAAATTAGCCTGCTGTGGTGACACATGCCTATAGTCTTAGCTACTCGGTAGGGTGAGGTGAAAGGATCACCTGAGCCCAGGAGTTTGAGGCTACAGTTAGCTCTGGTTGTACCACTGAGCTCTAACCTGGGTGGCAGAGTACAACTGTCTTAAAAAAAAAAAAAAGCCAGCCAAAAATGTCAATGGTGCCAGAGTTAAGAAACTGAACCAGAGCAACCACAGTCCCGAAAGTACCCTTGTCCCTGCCCAAATGCATGTCCTGACCTGAACTCTGGAAATTCAGTAACTCTACCCCCAACCCTCCTGGCCATTCCTCTTCCCTAAGAGTTAGGGACAGAAAACTGCCAGCCATGGGCAGGAGGAGGTGGTCAGCAGAGTGGCCTAGGAGAGACTCTCTGTTCCATGGGGAGCTCCTGGAAGGCTGCGGCAGAAGGGACAGTTGACCAGGGCAAGCAGCCAGCAAGGGCAGGCTGAGCCATGAGGGATCGGCCCATTTCCCAGCCCCCAGGCAGCCAGCCCTTAACTGCTTCTTTGTGACAGCCCGCCTCAGTGAGACAAGGGGCTCATATAACTCCCATAGCCTGGGAAAGCTTTTTAAATGTAAGCCTATGAGTGAGACTCTATGTGACAGTTTTTGTTTATCTCCAAATCCGGCCCTGATGAATCACTGTCATCTACATTTCAGCATGCTAAGAAACCTAATCCATATAAAACACCCCATGCTTCTGGGGCCCATACTAGTAGACATGACTAAGTGCAAAAATGCCAGTGTTTCACCCTGTGCTGCAGGAGGCAAGAGCCAGGCAGGAGCACAGTGCCACCTGCTTAGAGCAGGGAACCCTAGAAAGGTGGGGGCCCATCAGGGAAGATGGATTAGTGTCTTGAGCCCCTTTTATTTCCATGGTTTACAATAGAGAAAGGTGGGAGAGGCTTTCTGGACTGGGCAGGTAATCTGAAGACAGCTTTCCTGCCAACTCCATACTGGGTTCATCATGAAGATCAAGCACAGGGCCAAGGTAAAGGAATCTTCACACTGTTAAGAGAACAAGGTCAAGTTCCACTCTAAGGACAGGAGTGATCACTGGTGAGCACACATCAATGAATTCAATGTAATTCTCCATAGAGGAGAGTTCCCCGCCAGGCCCAGCCTATCCCAGACCCATTCAGGGGGGTTTGCATATGGAAGTACCAAGACATCCCTCCTCCTTAAAAACACCTCACCCATAAGGCAGTCTAGAGGCAAGGCCACAAGATTACAATGGTGGAACCAGAACTCTCAACAGTAACAGTGAATCAAGACTTACTCAGAGGGAAAAGGGATTGTTCCCATCATGGAAGTGGGGCTAGGCCTCCTTCTATCCAAGTGGCACATTTGCAGGGGTGACAATCAGCATGTTCACTATGGCACAGGCACAGAAGTGGGTCCAAGAGGCCCCTCAAGTGTCAGGATTCAACCCTTTGATTGCTGAACATGGGAAAGAGATCCCAAGGAAAGACCAGGGCAGCTAGGAACCGGAGGGCACTCAGGGGGTCTCAAGGCAGAGCATATTTAACAACCAGCATGGAAGTGCCCCACTGTTACATGTGAGTGGCATGGCTAAGCCAGTGTGTTTCCATCTGGATATCCACTGACTTGTACGGCTCAGCATCACCCATGCAGAGCTTCCAGAAGAGGCTTCACAAGGACAAAAGCACAAAAACCAACAGGGAGCATAGACTTGGCCAGGTTTGTGTGTTTTCTCATCACGTGAATTCTGCTGGGCACTCCAGGAGACTTCACAGGCTTTTCCCAGGAATACCTAGCTTCCCTTCCTGGGATCTCAGCCAGAGCCTCACAGTCGACTCCTGCTTACACCTGTGTCTCTGTCCCAGGCAGCCTCACCGCACCCCCCGCCACCCCCGCCCCACCACACCTGCTTTCACTAAGCCCACTGCCTCTGGACTTGCTAGAAGTTAGGCAGGACAGTGGCCTTGCCTGCTTTGACACTAAAATCAGTATCTTCCCAAACTGACTTCCCTCTCCCCAAAGCCCTAAGAAACATGAGCAGTAGCAAGAAGAAATTATGTCTTCCCCAACCCAATCTCCCCCACCCCCTCTCCCATCATTTTTCTGACCACCTCTTCCTCTGTTCCAAACAGGAGACCAACCACTCACCCATCATTCATCCAAACAGGAGCTAGGGTGGGGAAACTGACAGCGGGTCTGAAGACTCATAAAACCTTCACCAGCCTCCCAGGTGTCCCCCACCCCAAGGTCCAACAGAGCCTGGGCAAGCTGACCCCACTCAGTGCTGGGTAAAGCAGTTGCTTTTTCATTTTTGCTCAAGGGTCTAGGGAAGAGCTCGTTACTTTTGCACTGTTCAGCAGTCACACAATCTGTTTCCATTATGTTTGCTGACCCAGAGGCAGCCACAGCTTCACTCCAGAATTGGGAAACTTTATTTTCTTTAAAGAGAGAAGTTTATGTTACAGTGCCACTGTCGGATTATCTGGCTATACAGTGGTTTTCCCTGCTACTGTCCTCCCTGTGTCAACTTCAAACTCTCATTTGAAGTGGACTTTCTTTAAACTCCAAACTGATGATAGGTGGCAAGGAGTGGTATGGGTGTTCCCCTCCGCATCCACCAAGATGCTCACAGATTTTTGGCACCCATTAAACCACGTGAGGGCCCCATGCTCCACCTCAAGTCATGCATGCTTCCAGGGATCACAGCGACCTGCCCTTCTAACAAGAGGGGCAGGGCTACAGAGGGAGAGCAGTGGAGCTCAGAACCTGGGATCCCACCACAGGAACCCCTCGTTCAGGGACACGTCTGTCCACTGTTGGACACTACAACTGCCTAACCGCCAAGGCAAGCTGCACCCTCCACCCACATTCCCGATGGCTGCCCACTACTGGGATCCCCATTCTGACACCACAATTGGGTACAAGAGAGCTGGCATGGTGTCTGGACAACTTCCCAAAAAGTCCGTCTCTAACAGCATTTAAGATTCATAGCCCAAACCCCAAATGAACCAGTCAGATCAATCTCAGAGGTGGGGGTAACGGATAAAAAAAAGAAAGACGACTATTTTCCAGAAATCAAGAATTGTATCAGGAATACCGTGAACTTAAGATTCCTGGTTCACTACACTTTCAAGGGGATATTTAGGCTTTTATTTTTTCATTTTCCTCTTTTAGAGATAGCAGTTATTCAGCACCCACTAACAGTATTTAACTCTCCGAACAAGGCCATGAGGTAAGAATGATTACTCCCACTGCAAAGATGAGGAAACTGAGGGTCAGAGAGGTTCAATGCATCAGTGAAGGTCACTAAGCACAAAGAGGTAAACAGCTAGGTCTCACTCAATGCCAATAAGTGGATTTGTGCCATTTCCCTTTAATGTCTACTACTAGCTCAAAAACATTACTAGTTCCCAAATGGTTCAGCTTGGCATTTGAAGCCCGTTACAATTTAGTTCTGAATTTCTCCAACTTTACACCCTAACGTTCCCCTCCATGTGTACCATGGTCTAGCCCGGCAAGGTCCTTCACTGTTCCAAGAAATAACCTGCCCGCCTCCCCGCATGATTCCTAGAAGATCCCACCCAAAGTCCCCCACCCTTGGACTCTCGGGCAAGGGCCACAGGACTCGTGCCAGCTCAGGGAATAAGGGTGATGCTACTGTGCAAAGTGGACAGGCTCCCAGGGCTCCGGATCATGTCCCTCAACTAACACCGTCCCTTACCTCCCAGCATGCAGGCACACAGGCAAGGGGTCTCAGGCTCCACACACTCTTACAGCAGAGAGAAAACCCTTCCCTTTCCACCCTAAACAGCCACACTTCACCCACAGGCAGCTTCATTTCCAGAGAAATCCCTTCCTCTCTTCTGCGGCTCCATCCACTGCCAACGTACCAAAGCCCAGGGGAGACTTAACATGGTTAAAATTTTAAAGCATTTAAGAAGCTCAAAGGAAAGGCACGCTTGAAGTGCAAATCATCAATTTAGGGGGAAAGAGCAAAATATGGGGGGAAAGGGTATGGACACAAATGTAAATGAAACATAATTTTAAACAATATTTTGAATAAACTGCTTTAACATACATGTCCTGAGCCTGGGTGTTGAGTCCCGAGTTGTGCGGCAGTGCCTGAGATTGGTCTTCAGCACTCCCTCCTGCTTAGTTTACTAAACCTGCAATCTGAGGTGAGCTGGCTCTCTGGGTTTTGCCAAGTGGAGAATAACAGTTCTGTGATGAGTTACTTAACAGGCAGGGCACACAATGACAAGCCTGGGCTGGGCTGCTGAAGCAGCAGAAATCCTAGTTGGACTCCCCTCAGACGATCCCTAAAGCCCAATACTGCAGCCTAGTACCCTATGAAAAACGTCAGGATGTGCAGAAACTGGCTAAATATGGAATAAAAGCCCTGACTTGAACAGTATGAGGCAAGAGAAAAAATATAGGTCCACTTATCTCTAAAAAAACTATAGCTAGCTTTTAAATTCTGCCTTTCTGTGCATGGCCCGCTATCTTTTTTTATGTCCATACTTTACAAGCCAAACAAACCACATTTTTTTTTTGGTATGAGAATGAAATAAATTTAGAGACACTTCTAGTGTCTAAATCCATGGAAACAATTGGGGAAGAAAGAAGACTACACGATTTTCCTATACATCAGGCATTCGTGACAGCAGGGCTCTATTTACCTCCTTCAGAAACCATCTTAAGGCTTCTCTTTAACCCTGGGTCCACCACACGAAGTTAATGAGTCTTCCACTGCAATTTCAAAAGCTATTGCATTTACACACCTCTTCCTCAACCGACAAATCACTAAAGCATCCTAAGGGGTAGCATTAAATTTTATGGTTCGTTGACAGAAAGAATAGAATCCCAAATCACCAATCCATGTGTAATTAATTGTTCATTTCCCCCACTTTTTCTACCTGGTCTCCGTACCTGTCTATATTGCCACCAGGAATTCTTTAAAAAAAACAAAACAAAACAAAACAAAACAAAAAAAAACAAACTAAGAATCACACACTTCAGGAGTGTCTGAAGACTTCTGCATGGAAGACCCCTCACACCATCCAGGAACTGAAGCCCACCAGAGTGAGGAATCAGCCTCCGGGAGGCGAACGAGCACGCTTGCTCTTTCTAATCACGTGTACTAATGAAAGTGGCAGACTAAGGAAAGAGAAACGCCAAGGGTGGCTTATGTGTTTGGTTTTCTTTGCATGAAAGGCAGAAAGCTTTGCCAGGTCTCACCAGCACACCAGGCTATGCAGAGTGGCCAAGGCACAGTTTACCGGGAAGCAAAGTTTTAAAAATCATTCCAGTTTTACACGATTATATCTCTGAATGGACTGCACGGCTTTTGCTGCCTGCATGCTCTTTGCTGTTCAAGAATAAACCAAGTCTTCGCGTACATATACTACCTATACCATTTTTTACAAAAACAACGCTAAGAGTACAATGTCAGCTCAGAAGCTAGGCCGATTCAGCACGTGGAAAGAGGGCTTTATTTCTGCCCTTCTAGATAAAACAAATCCACGTAATTTACCAGAAACCACATAAGGCACCCATTCCACCTAACATCTTCGGCTATGAATGAATGAATGAAGCAAAGAAAAAACCTCTGAAGCAGCCAAACCCCGGCGTGGACATTTAGGGGTCTGACTTCAGAACTGAAGTCTGTTCATCTAGTTAGTTCCCTCTGGCTTGTTTCAGGATACCACTCTCTTGTTCCAACCCAACCACCCGTAGTCCATCTCCATTAACTCAGAATTTTCTGGGTTTGCGGTGACACTAAATGTCACAGTAACGAGGGTTACAGGAATTCGGAAAAGATAACGCTGCTTTCAAAGCCGAGGAGCCAGTAAAACACTACAAACGTCCCCTGCCGGCATGCTCCAGCACACAGCCCGACGCCCTGCTCTCCCGGCCGGCGCTCGGCCGCAGGACCGCGCTGTCCCGGCTCCTCTCGGCGCTCACCATCCTCCCGAATGCCCAGGGCCCGGCCGTCCGGAGCGGCGGCACGAGGACGCGGAACCGCAGAGCGGCTCACACGGTCCCCACAGCCAGATCACTCGGCCCCTGGAGCATGTTAAAAACACAGCCACAGAAGAGGGATTCTCCCTGAAGCGGGGAGTGGGGATGGAAAATGCAAGCGCAGGAGGCCACGTCCGGCTCGCGCGGGAGGGCCGGGGGCCGGGTTGGGCAGAGGGTAACGCTGGGGCCGCAAGGGAACGGCCGGGACTGGCCTCGCTCGGGGCGCAGGGGCGCACTGGCCCCTGGCTCGCACGGGCCCTGGGGCTTTACTTGGCACGGGAGCGGCCGCCCCTGCCCCCCAAAGGTAAAGGGCAAAGAAGGTGGCAGAAACACGGAACCCACGCCCCGCGGAGTGACAGGGGGAAAGGGACGAGGATTTGCAGCCGCTGGTATCAAAGGGCTGAAAAGAAACTTGGACTCCTCTCTCCTGCTGTACATGACGCGTTGGAAAAGCGGTCGCCTCTCTCTCCTCTCCTCCCCACCCCCTTTGTGTTTCCCAACACCCCCATCCCTAAACTTCCAACCGCAGGGGATGGGGCTCCCGGCGGCCGGACAAGACTCGAATTACGACGAGCAGAGAGAGGGGCGACGTCCACGAGAGGGGGCAGAGAAAGGCTGCGGGGGCCGCCCTTTCGGAGCCCGGCGTGCGCAGAGGGGCCGGGTGCACCCCTGCCCTGGGCACTCGGCGCGGAGGCCCGGGACGAGGGCGGGCGACGCGAGCGGAGGTCCGGGCGGAGGAGCGCAGGGGCGGCGCGGAGAGGGCAGGGGACAGGGGCGCAGGGTGGGGGGTGGGCGCAGGGGCCCGGCCGCGGCAGGGCGCTCCACTCACCTTCCTGCCGGCGCCGCCGCCCGCGCCCCCGGCCAGCGCAGAGCCGCCCCCCGAGTACATGTAGTAGGCGATGCCCAGCACCCACAGGAAGGCGAAGCAGAGCAGCATCCGCGAGCGCCGCCGCATTCTCCCAACTCGGCCGCCGGCGGGGCCGCCGCTGCTCGCGAGTGCTGCCTGGGCCGGCCGCGGGCGCGGTGGGGGCCGGGGGAGGAGCGGAGGAAGGGGAAGGGCGCGGCGGCGGCTCCTCCTCCCGCGCGGTGCTACTGCTCGGCGGCGGCGCGCACTCGGCGCCCGAGCTCCGCCCCGGGCCGGCGGCGCCGCGCGGCACCAGAGCAGGAAGCAGCGGCCTCGGAGGCGGCGAGGGGGGTCAGGGAGCAAAGGGCGACCAATCGGCGGCGGCTGCGGGGGCCGGGGCGCGGGCCGCGGGAGGGGACTGCCGCGTCTCCATGGCTGCAGCACGCCGGGCTCCGCCGTGAGGGCCTGGGCGCCGCCCCGCCCCCGGCCGCCCGCCCCTCAGCGTGCTCCCCCCGCCGGCCGCCCCCTCCCCCGTGAGTGACAGGTGGCTGCCCCGGGACCCGACTGGAGCGCGCGCACACGTGGGCAAAGAGCCTTGCTCACGCACACGGGGCCTCTCGATTACGGGGGCGGTAGTGGCCTCGGTGCTTCCTGCCCAGACTGTCACCTCTTCAGCCTTGGTCTTTGGGGCCACCTCAGACCCTTAACGGGCTTGCTCTTATTGGCCAACTGACCTGAGTTTTTGGTGCAAACCGCCCGCTTGAACCCGACTTTGCTGCTGCTTGCTGCAGTTTTCTCACTAATCTTGCAGCAAAACATTCCTGACCCGCTGGTATCGATTTTATTTATCTATATAGGCAGATGTGGAGGTTTTGAGTTGGTAGGAACTGAGAAGGTAATTTTCAAAAGAACATTTTTCTGTGGGTGACAGAGCTATCAATGGTAGAGTTGTTCTTTTCAATAAACACAAAATGAGGAAGAAGGAAAGCAATAATATATTGTTTAAAATCTTTTCTTTCTCATTCGTTGCGTTCTTTAAAAAGCACATTAAGCATCTTTAACGATACAAGAAAACGATCTGTCTTGTAACATAATCTATGTAACCTTGGTGATGCCCTTGCAACACGCAAAGCTTCCAGTGTTCCTAAGAAAGACAGAAATTTTACTTAGAACTTGATATATTAAATGTTTTCAGGAGCTTCTCGGTCAGAGGATAATGGCAGCTGCCTGATATAAGTCCGTACCCATATCCTCAACGAAACAAAAACAAGCCTTCAGCATTACTTAGAGAGAATGCCATGAACTGAACATTAAATTACTTAAGTAGAAGAAAGAAAAGATACCAAATTCCAACTGAGCTCCCTCCACTATTGCCAAGGACTTAAGTGAAGTACAGGGTTGTCACCTCTTTATAAATAGAAAGTCCAACACCAAGAACTAAAAACTGAACAGAGGTCAGGTGCCTTATTGATCAAGGGAAGAGATTTGAAAGAAAATGGGACAAGAGGTGAGAGGCTTGAAGGAGCCTTGTTTCTGGGAAAAAGTCAGATAAATACGAAAAGAAGATAATGTCCTTCAGAGGCCTGACAATGAAGGGAAAGAAGGAAGTCAGAAGGGAAAATTACAAATCCTGCAGAAATGAAAGAGAAGACAGCCAGTCCCCTCCCCAAACACCAACATTATCTATTAAAAACTGCATTTCAGTACACAGATAAAAGAAAACACTCTTGAACCGGGAACCCTGCCTCAAAATGCCTAGTAACAGAAAAACATCAAATCAACTGCATTTAAAGATTCTGCAAAAAGAAAACAGAAATCACATTTCTGATGATAAAAAATAAATCATAACATTTTCGCTGATGAAAACCCCCACAATAAAAACCATGAAGCATAAGAAAATTGTAATACCACATGTCAAACTGAACAAAGTGTCACGTATTTGTATACACATACACACACACACACATATCTAGGATAAGAAATTTCAAGAACTGAAGACAGACTAGACAAAAATTAGGAAGAAATGCAACAAGGGTTGAGCAAATTCAAGAAGGAAATTGAAAGTAATGACAAAAACTATCCCAGAAACAAAGAATAATTACAAGGTGTCCAAGGGAAAATATATTCAAATGAAAATATGTAAAAGGACACTGAAGAATGGCAAGAAAACAATCAAGAAATTGAAAATAATATAAAGATAGAAGTAAAAAGGTTCAGAGAGAAGAGGTTAAAATAAAAGCCAGGAAAGGAAGACCAAAATACATGTTAAGTGGAGTCCCTAAAGTACAAACATTAAACAATAAAACCTAATTAATATTAAAACTATAACCCCAGAAAATAATCCAGGAATAAGGGAAAATTTAAATGTACATGTCAAAAGTGACTTCCATGTACCTTGGGAAATGATCTGGAATTATCAACTCCTAAATATATTTTAGTAAAACGATTAGATTTTAAAGGCAAAAAAGATCAAATTGCTTATAGAGATAAAAATTTATGCTGGCATCAGACTTCTGAACAGCAACATGCAAAGCCAGGCAACAGTGGAGCAGCATTAACAAGGAACAAAAGTGCCAGGCAGGCTGGGCATAGTGGCTCATGCCTGTAATCCCAGCACTTTGGGAGGCCAGAGTGGGTGGATCACCTGAGGTCAGGAGTTCAAGACCAGCCTGGCCAAAGTGGTGAAACCCCATCACTAAAAAAAATATGAAACTTAGCCGGCAGGTGCCTGTAATCGCAGCTACTCGAGAGGCTGAGGTGGAAGAATCATTTGAACCCGGGAGGCAGAGGTTGCAGTGAGCTGAGATCATGCCATTGCACTCCAGCCTGGGTGACAGAGCGAGACTCCATGACACACACACAAAAAAGTACCAGGCAGTGATTTTTATACCCAGCCCTCAAGTGTCAAGGTTGTAGGCAAACAGATATGACCTGAATGCAAAAATTCAGAGAACGTGACTCACATGGGCCTTTCATGAGGAATCTTAGAGAATGAGCTTCCTCCAACCAAGAGACAGCTGAGGAAGCCAGCAGAGTGACTAATGGAGAGCATTTTGTATATTCAGAAGGTGAAAGACTAGTGTATATACATTATACTTTCTGATAAACTTAGAACAGGTGCAACTAAAGACAACTGGAGGAGAAGGGGAAGAGCGAAGGGAAAATAGAATAATATCATTGTCTGCAATATCAGTAGCAGGTAGTAGTGAAAGGATACCATATAAAACAGACAGACCAGATGTTAAAAGGTTAGAAACAAAATATAGGAATTAAGGGTAATATATTAAAAATATAAATAAAAATCACTACAACAAAATATATGTATTCCCAAATATTGGAAACCCTATTCCAAAACCCCAAAAGTTCTAAAAATAGCAAAGAATACATACCAAATAATGAAAGAAACACAGTAAGTGTGGCACAGTGATGCAGTAGTTATAATAGGAAACAATATGACACAGCTGAGACCAACCCACATCAGATATAACAATTTATAAGTGGGCTCAGTTCACCCTTTAAAATAAAAGATTTTCAAATGTAGGCATAACGGAAACCCCAACTCTGAAAAAGCAGGTGCTGTGATTCTGATATCAAACAAAACAGAGTAGGCCAAAAAGCATTAAATGAGATGAAGAGGGACAATTTATAGCCCAAAACTTCCCTTCCTAAACACTTATCAATTGTATATCATTAGGATTTGATCTGCAAAGTAAAATCATTATTAGTTTGATGGAATAAGCGATGTATGATAGAGATTAAACTTTAGACAATGTTAGAGGTAGAAGAAAAAAGGTTATGGAAGTCTTTCCATTGTACATGGGGCAGGTCTGAAGTCACTGTAGTTTCTAGACCTGGGAATCAGAAGAATAGCTAGATGTGACATGGGGCATTTCAAAGACAAAGTCAAAACTGCAAGGACAAAATGTACCTCATGAGAACAACTAGAATTCATGAGGACAAACTGTAATGTACCTCCAGTGTTGATTATGGAAATAAAAAACAAAACACAACAAAAACCCACAGTGAGATACCACTTCATATCCATTAGGATAGCTATTATATAAAATTTTTTTTTTTTTTTTTGGTGGACACTTGCTCTGTCGCCGAGGCTAAAGTGCAGTGGCACAATCTCGGCTCACTGCAACCTCCACCTCCTGGGGTCAAGCCATTCTCCTGCCTCAGACTCCTAAGCAGCTGGGCCTACAGGCATGTACCACCATGCCCTGCTAATTTTTGTATTTCTAGTAGAGACAGGGTTTCACCATATTGGCCAGGCTGGTCGCAAACTCCTGACCTCATGATCCACCTGCCTCAGCCTCCCAAAGTGCTGGGATTACAGGTGTGAGCCACCGCGCCCAGCCTATAAAACATTTTTAAAATAAATAAATAAATAAATAACAAGTGTTGGTGAGGATGTAGAGAAATTGGAACCCTTACGCACTGCTGTTGAAAATGGTATAGTGGTTCCTCAAAAAATTAAATTTAGAACTACTATATGATCCAGCAATTCCATTTCTGGTTGTATACATAAAGGAATTGAAAGCAGCGACTCAAACGGATATTTGTATATCCACATTCATAGCAGTGTTATTTACAGTGGCCAAAGGGTGGGACAACACAAATATCTATCAACAGATAAATGGACAAGCAGAATGTGGTATATCCATGCAATGGAATATTATTCAGCCCTAAAAAAGAAGAAAATTCTAACACATACCAGAACATGGATGAACGTTGAGGACAATATGCTAGATGAAATGAGCGAGACACAAAAAGACAAATACCAAATGATTTCACTTATATGAGTTTCCTACAGTAACCAAAATCATAGAGGCAAAAAGTAAAATGGCAGTCACCAGGGGCTTGAGGAAGAGAGGAATTAGGAGTTCCCATTATTATTTATGAGTTCGGAGTTTCGGTTTGAGATGATAACATTCTGGAGATGGATGGTAAATGTACTTAATGGCACAGAATTATACACTTAAAATGGTTATGATGGTAAATTTAATGTGATGTATATTTCATCACAATTTGAAAAAACTACAAATGACAAGTTGGGAGAAATTATTTCCACAACATTATAGATAAAAAGGTAATATCTCTGACATATAAAGTACTTAACATTAAGGAAAAACCCCAAATCTCCTATAAAAAATGGCGAAAAGCATAAACAGACAATTCATAGTAAAGATCTACAAAGAGTCCATAAACATATGGAAAGACATTAAACTTTGCTCTTAATAGAGTTGTAAATTAAAACTACAAACATACTATTTATCCTCCCATCAAACCGGTAAAAAATCAAAAGTTTGACAAAACATTCTGTTGGCAAGACTACAAAAATAAATAAATAAATAAGGAAGACGTCCGTGAACACATATAGCGTAATATCCAGGATATTTTGTTAAATGAAAAAAGGAAGTTGCAATAGGGTATGTATCATCTGCTACTTTATCTGTAACAAAGAAGGGACTAGAAGAAAACATACATGTAAGTGTTATAGCTCTTTTAGAACTTGTGTAGAAGGTTTGCTGGTTTTCACTGGAAAGCACTCCATGCAGAAAAGAAAAGACACATGTATCTGCATATTTTGGCAAAACACACATACACACTCACATACACAATAGTGGTAAACCAGAAAACAATTGAGTTGGTTACCTAGAAGGGGTGGGAGGGAAAGGTAGAAGGGATAGGAGAAGAATTGATGCTTCTCTGAGTATACTGTTTTTCCAGGCTTAAATTTTGGAAACATGATAGTGTTCTCTATATTAAAAAAACAAAATAAAATCAAGAAAGCTGAGGGGAGAGGAATAAAAACTGAATCCAAACAGAAATATCTGAATCCAATTATATTATAAATGAATAATATAAAGCTTAAAAAAATATTCATAACTTTAAACAAAGTATGCCAGCTATGTGCTCTCAGCCTAGAACTGGAAAGAATTTTAAAGCCCTTTATTTTTTTCATAGTGTTATGGGTATAGCAATTGTATTATTTTATGCATGGTATGCAATTGAGCAAATCAGGAAATACATTGTTTTGGGGAGCTAGGCTTTTCACTATGGAAGAAGGGAGATACAGAATGGGATGGAAGAAGGCAAGAAAGATTCCTGTGGAGTAGATTTGTAATTAGAGATAGCGGTATGAACTCATTATTTCATACAGACACACACACACACACACACACACACACACACATCTATGCTCATATGTATGCATATTTAAACAAATATACATACATATTTCCTAGATCTGTCCACTTAAAGGGCCCCGATTAATAATATCCCAGTAGCAATGAGCACCCCTTGCACCCAGATCTTGGTTTCTAAATACCATTCTCCACTGTAAGAGTTCACTGGAGAAATTATTGATTCCAGGACTGGGGTTGAGAGGGTATTAAATGAGCCTGGAGCATCTTGTTGTACTAGAAAGTAAGGAAGGGCAGAAAGAGCGAGAGAGAGAGAAAGAGAGAAGCAGAGGAGAGAGAGAGCACAATGTTAAAAGGACATAGGAGCCAGCTTGAAGGGGCCCCACTGGCTAAATCTAAGACCATATATGCATCAAAATAAACACTGAATAAAGTAGAAATCTAGGCATACACAATGATAATAAATAAATGGACAAAAGGAGAACTCTTTGAGTAGAATGCCAACTGATAGACATTCAGGGAAGAGTGGATCACCATCTTACAACCATCGCAGTAAAGGTTTGTTTGGAGAAGACACCTGAATGGATGCTGAAGTGGTTAGGGGAGGAAGAGTTTGATGAAAAGGAGGAGATTTACAAGGTCTTCAAATGTCTTTCAACAGACATTTCTTAGTTGGATAATAGACATATTATTCACTGCTGGGTGGGGGTGGTGGTGGTGAGGGGATGGGGGATTTAGTAGCTGGTGGAGAAATAGGCAGCACCTTGGCCAGGTGACCAAAACTAGCATCACTTATGAGGGTCAGATGGATATCCTGAGTCTGCGGAGAGACTCTGAGAAGGTGACAGCATCATGGTTTTTGTATTCTGGCCAAGGATGTATATAAACAAGGGTTGAGCAAATTCAAGAAGGAAATTGAAAATAATGACAAAAACTATCCCAGAAACAAAGAATAATTACAAGGTGTCCAAGGGAGAATATATTCAAATGAAAATATGTATTCTGGCCAAGGATGTGAATAAATATCAGGAAAAAAATGGGGAACATTCTGTAAAGTAAGTGGTTTGTATTCTTCAGAAATGTCACTTTGGCTATTGTGAAAGACAAAGAAAGAGTAAGGAAATGTCCCAGATTAATGGACCTGAAGAGACATGATATCTAAATGCAATAAAGCCCCTGTAGTGGAAAGTAAAAATACTATGGAGAACATGAGTAGGACAATGAATAAAACAGGACTACGGACTATAGCATAGTCTGATATACCATGGTACACTATGGTAAATAGTATAATGTCCAATTTTCTGATTTTGCTAACTGTACTATAGTTGCTTAGAAGAATGTTAGGAAATATGATATTTGTTAGGAAATATAAACTAAAGTATCAAGGGTTAAGGGGGCATGACATACACGAGCTGCTTTCAAAAGATTCAAGAAAAATATAGAGAGAGAATGATAAAAAAAAGTGGCAAAATATTTTAAAATGGCGAGTCTGGGTAAAGGACATAGGTGAATTCTCTGCACTATTTTTGCAACTTTTTTGGTAAGTTTGAAATCGTTTTCTTTAAAAGTGGTTTTACATGCAATATGGTGACCCTGAAGTTTCATTCTGCTGATTAGATAAAAGGCAGAAACCTAAAAACATTCCATTGCAACAACCCCACAGCCCAAGCGTCTAAAAGATACTACAACTTGCTTCCCTAGACGGCTGGCATATAAACACCCGCTCCTTGTCTTTCTTCTACCTTCATTTACTTTCCTAACACATCTCCACAGACACTTTCAAACACTTGTGCATGACTTCTAGTGTTTACAGGTAAGGTAATGAGTAGGAAACTCTATATACATTGACTTGCCTTTTGTCAGCCCCTAGTACTGTTCAGCACCGTGGCTGTCATTTATCAATGTAACATTTTCATGCCAGAAGCCCTTAGGGCTTTTTCCTGACTGTATAGTACAGTAAGAATAGCTACATATTTGTAGCAGCACATAAATACAGCTTCAGCGTTTCTGCTGCCAATTCACTGTACCAGTTACTGTTGTCAGAGTTGTCGGGAGCCCTGTACAATTTAATGATACATTGTGACTTTGCACAATAGAACCTTTCTTATAATCTGATTGTCCAATTTCCTTTTTTCTAAAATACTTTAAAGGGGGACAATACCCAATCAGGAGAAAAGGAGAAACAAAATTATGACTGCTTAAAAGGAACAAAATATTAAACACTGAAATTGGATAATGGGAACTCGTTCGCACGCCCCTCCCACCAAACTGAAAGCACATTTCTATGGAGGTTATTATAAAAAGAAGATATGGAAGAGCTTGCCCAGGCCCTGTCATACTCCCAGGACCCACAATGGGCTGTCTTTAATGAGAGGGGACACTTTGAAGTACTACAGTTCTATCCTCAGTGAGCAGCTCTTAGTGACACTAAGCTCAAAATCCCCACACCCCGGGGACAGTGTTAACCACCTGCTGCTGTCTTCCCAGAAATTGCTTGGCTTGAATTGTGACTGAGAAATAGTTTATCAAATGTGATTTAGGTTAAAGGAATCGATTGCCCTGAACATATAAACATTAATGATGTGCTTACCATATGCCAGGCACTGTTTGTGTATTATTTTATTAAATCTTCGCAACAGTCCTATCAAGTAAATGCTCTCACTATTTCAGTTTTATAGCAGGGTGCTGTTAAGTGCCTTGCCCAAGGCAGCTCAGCGAGTAGCAGAGTCAGGGAGACTGAGTCACTAGGAGGCACTTGGCACACTTGCCGGTGGGGGAAAGGAATCTTCCCATTAGGCAGGACAGCAGCTATCTGGAGAGGGTGGGGCAGGAAAGCGACCGAGCACAGCATCACGGGGGCTTAGGGGATCCTGGGGACATTCTGCTGAAAGGCAGTCTTCTTGTTCCCACCTTCCCCGCTGTGTAACCCTCTCATCTCAGGCTCCCAGGGAATATGTCGCCGTGCCGCCAGCCAGCACTCATAGCACTACGGCCTCTGCTGATGCTTCACCAGCCCAGGCTGCCCCTGAGTGAGCCTGAGAGTTGGGCCTAGGAAGGAGGAGGCCAGTGTCAGGAGTGCTAGGAAAGGAGACTCATGGTTAAAGACGCCCCCATAGCCCCAGACTTAAGGACATACGTGTACTTTAGTGAGAAGTTCTACTTACTCTGTCAGCCATAGGGGCTACGGGCACCTTGCCCTGTCCACATTCCACATAGATGATCTCCAGCCAGTGCTTTTCGTTCGTGTACACTCTTGTATCAGAGCCCTTTCCTCCCTTCGTCCTGGGGAAAGGAGCCAGCGGAATCCTCCTAGCCCCGGACGACACTTACCTAACCCCAGCAATGCCCCTTCCCATTTCCTACCCCTCCTGCCTGTGGTTGCTACCTTCCTTTAGGGTAAGCTTCTTCTCAAGACGCCCCGCAGCTCCTCCGGTAGCCAGTTCCTTGTGTGCCTGCCCCTGCCCCCAGGCAGATCCGGGCTCTTGGGTGAACTTATCTCTGGCTCAACTTAGACTCCTGCAGGTAGTTTACAAAGCACTTTCACATGCACGACCTCAAGGTCTCATGAGGTGCATATTACTCTGCTCATCTTAGAGGATGACAAACTGAGGCTCAGAAAAGTCAGGCAACTTGTCCAAAACCATCCATGTAATTAGCCAATGGCAGCACCAAACACAGACCCAGCCAGTCATCTCCCTTCAAGTTCACAGTCTCTCTCCACCGTCCCCCACCTTCAGCTGCAGAGTCCCCAAGACTGGTCCCACCGCACATAGATGTTCTGAGAAAGTCTCTCGTTTATTTATAGTTTATACTCCACTCACTTCCAAAGATAATTGGAGACATTTTACAGAAACCCACAAACACATATACATAAGATGTGCAGAGCTGTGTAGGCAGACCACGTAACTCATGAGGGATTTTCCATTCCCCCCTCCCCCTGCCAGATTGCAGATCTTGGAGAGCTTTTTAAAAATAAAATTTCTCGAGATTCCCATCCCAGACCTACTGAATCAGAACTGCCAAGAGTGGAGCTGACTAGTGTATAGTGTTTCCATTTGCCAATGCAAGTAGACAAAGGAGAGTAGAAACAGGGATTTTAGAAAGAGACAGAGCAAGCATACATTGTGGAGCTGTGGGGTTAAAAACTCTAACAGGTATGTAGGGCTCATGGCAACCCTCAGAGTCCCAAAGCAACATCTCCCTGGTCCCACTTGATGATGGACCTGGTCTACCCTAGAAACAGCCCATTCTGGGGGCCTGAACATCCCTTTGTCATCCCAGAACCAGAGAATGCAACTATCTTATGTGAACTGTACATCTTGACTATACCTATAAATCCTAATGGATCTGTAGGGAACTAGGACCACAATTCCACTTTGGAAAGCAAAGTCATTGTCTGATCAAAAGGCAAGCTTTTCTAATTTAAGAATAAATGAAGGGGTATTAGATTATATTTTGGAGTTATTATTAATTTTTTAGCTGTGATATTGCTATTGTGGTTACTTAGAAAAATGTCCTCATTCTTAGGAGCTGTGTGCTGGAGTATTTATGGGTAAAGTTCTTGATGTCTACAACTTAATTTCAAATGACCTAGCAATGAAAGTATTTATATTGTAGAGAGTTATACAAATATAGGCATAGATATAGCAAGAGATAAAAACAAATGTGGGAAAACACTCATTGTTGGATCCAGGTAGAGAGCATAATGGGGTTATTATTCTGTTCTTTCAACTTGTATCTGTAACTTAAACTTTTCAAAATGAAAAGCTGGGAGAAAAAGAAAAATAAAGGCACATGAGGAAAATCTGGTGAATAATTGCATTGAAAATCATAACAATTTTTATAGAAGAAAAGAAAAACCCAGACATTGTAGCCAGACAGAAACATCTGGCATGCTCAGCAGGCTGTCAATCAATCAGTTATTCAACAATTATTCAACAGGTGTTTATTACAGGTCTGTGCTGGGCCTAGGACTTCTACAAACAGTGAGAAAAAAAAATGAAAATGTACACTATGGGTTCCTGTCCTTGAGCTGCTAATGATTAAATTTAGCTCCATGAAGATTTTTTGTCCTGGATATAATTCACTAGGAGGTTTTTTTAAAGCACCCCAAATTATAGCTCCGTTAGCAAGCAGGTTTCTTTACCAGGCAGATTATCTTTGTTAGAAACTTCTGAACCAGGAAGAGAAATGATATGGGACTCTTCAGGATGTCGGAAAAGAGAGGTTTTTACTAAGAAAAGTCCTTAAATCAGATCCCAAATAGAGCAACATAAAATGGTGCATTTGGAAGTCCTAGGGAGGGGACGGGAGGGCAGAATTAGGTCATTGTTAAGGATGAATGCTTGACCTTTGCAGAGGTAAGTGATAGAGGAGAGCCCTGGAGAGAAGGGGGCTCAAAAGAGGGGCTGGATGAGTCTGTAGACATGATGACGATGGGCCATGAGAAAGGGATCCCACCATAGCTTGTCCTCTTCAAGAACCAGGCAGTGAGCTGGAAAGACAATGGGAAAGTCTCCATGAATCACCTCCTCCTGAGGGAGGCTAGGCCAGCTACAGGTCAGATTGACCAGCCTAATTGAAACATCAGGGGCATTTTTGCTTAAGAAGGTGTGGGGAGGGAGAACATTTCTCCCATGTAGGTAATTGACAAGTCCTCAACAATTTATGAAACAACTGGAGATAAAAGGTTGAAAGTATAAATGCCCATTGAGATAACAATCACCGATTCCACAAATATTTATTGAGTATTTACGTTTTGCCAAGCTCTATTCTAGATTACTGGAGTGCACGGATGAAGAAGGTGAAGAACATCTCTGCCTTCAGAAAAATCTCACACCTTCTAAGAGTGAGTGCAGTGCACACAGTCCAGAGGGAGTCAGTTTCAATGCATCCATGAAGATAAAGGGCAGTCTCCTAGGTCTATCCACTCTGCAGGAGGTTGGCGAGGTGGGGAGGTGGAGATGTGCGCTTTTCAGGGGCCTGACAATGGTGCTGCGGAAGCTCAAGTTGGAAATGAGGAGGCTCTGCATGCCAAGAGCAAACTTCTCAGACTGCAGATTCTCCCCAAGACGGGTCTCGTTAACTTCAGAATCGGTAGAGACAAACAGAAACTGTGCATTGAAATATTTCTGACATGCAGCTGTAAGCTGGCAGCTCTGCTTAGAATGACTTATGAAGATGTTTTGTTTTTATTTTTGAGCATAGTCGATTTTGAATAAATGAGCCTTGTTCCCAAGGAATTTCTAATCAACGTATCACTGTATAAACCAGCCTTTACCCTCAAGGAACTTATTCCCTTGTTTGACAAACAGAGCACGCACATGTGAAATAGATAGTAAGGCAATAAATAAAGTGGCAAATGCTGGATATGGACACTTAAGAGGTTAACAGAAAATTTTAAATGTAATATATATGGCGGGGAGCAAGTCTAGTTGCTATCAAAATCTCTTGGGGATTTCCAAATGATAAAAGGTTTATTGTCCTTAATCTCCTGCTGCATTAATCCAACTTTTAAATCAGGAGCTGCCCTCAATTGTTGTGGGGAGAAGTCAGAGAATGGACCCATCGGTGTGGGCTGGAGTTCCAAGGAAGGGTCGAGGGGAGGGTTTGAGTTGGGCTTTGGAGGATGGGTATGGTTCAGACATGAGGGTGAGCATTCTGGGAGGCGTTCTCGACCGCAGACAGCTGTGGTGGAGGAGGATAGGCCCTGGATCTGAGAGCTTGGCTCTCAGGCTGCTATACCTGAACTTGATCCAACAGCTGACAGAGGGGTGGTGGGTTTTTTAGAGCAAGGGAGTGGTAGGATAAAAGCAACATTTTAAAAGATTAATAGGTGATTTCAGGACCTGTTGGGGTAAGGGGACGAGTCCATGCTCTGCAGCTGGATGGGGTGGGGCAGATCTGAGCTCCAGTCAGGTCTCTGAGGGAGCAGGGAGGAATCAAACAAGAGCTGGCTGGGAAGCAGCAGCAGCTGGACTTGAGTGGGAAGGTTTAGGCAGGAAAGGAGACTCATGGTTAAAGACGCCCCCATAGCCCCAGACTTAAGGAAATGGGTGGACTTTAGTGAGAAGTTCTATTTATTCCATCAGCCATTCTCTATTAGGCGCTTGCTTTGTGCCAGGCACTGTTCTAGAAACTTGGGTTACATCAGGGAACAAAACAGACTTAGACTGGGTGCGGTGGCTCACGCCTGTAATCCCAACACTTTGGGAGGCCAAGGCAGGTGGATCACCTGAGGTCAGGAGTTCAAGGCCAGCCTGGCCAACATGCTGAAACCCTATCTCTACTAAAAATACAAAAAAAAAAAAAAAAAATAGCCGGGTGTTGTGGTACACCCCTGTAATCCCAGCTACTCAGGAGGCTGAGGCACGAGAATCACTTGAACCTGGGAGGTGGAAGTTGTAGTGAGCTGAGATTGTGCCTTGGTACTACAGCCTGGGTGAGAGGGTGGACTCTGTCTCAAAAAAAACCAGGCCGGGCACAGTGGCTGATGCCTGTAATTCCCAGCACTTTGGGAGGCCGAGGTGGGTGGATCACCTGAGGTTGGGAGTTCGAGACCAGCCTGACCAATATGGAGAAACCCCGTCTCTACTAAAAATACAAAATTAGCCGGGCATGGTGGCACATGCCTGTGATCCCAGCTACTCAGGAGGCTGAGGCAGGAGAATCGTTTGAACCTGGGAGGCTAAGGTTGCAGTGAGCCGAGATCACACCACTGCACTCCAGCCTGGGCAACAAGAGCGAAACTCTGTCTCCAAAAACAAAACAAAACAAACAAAAAAAAACCAGACTTAGGTCCCTGCCCTCCTGGGGTTCCTACTGTAGTGCAGTGGTGGATGGGGAAGGGAGGGACTGGCAGTAAGCATTCAACACAATGAGTAGGTAGAGTAAATACAAATTGGCCCTTGAACCACATGAGGTCTACTCATATGTGGATCTTCTGCCACCCTTGAGACAGCAAGAAGAACTCCTCTTTTCCTCCTTTACTTCAGCCTACTCAACATGAAGACAATGAGAATGAAGACCTTTATGATCATCCATTTCCAATTAATGAATAGGAAATGTATTTTCTCTTCCTCATGATTTTCTTAATAATTTCTTTTCTCCGGCTTACTGTATTGTATGGACACAGTATTTAAGACATATACACAGTATGTGGTAATTGTTTATGTTATCAGTAAGTCTTCTAGTCAACAGTAGGCTATTAGTAGGTAAGTCTTGGGGGAGTCAAAAGTTATACGTGGATTTTTGACCACGAAGGGGGTCAGTGCCCTAACCCCCATGTTGTTCAAGGGTCCCCTGTAGTGTGTTAGAAGGTCACATGTACACTGCACACAAGGACAGGTGGAGCAGGGAAGGGGAGAGTGACAGTGAGTGCGGACTCAGTGGCCACCCTGGATATGGTGAGCAGGGGTTATCTGAGCCCAGACTAGAGGGAGGTGAGAGAATCAGCCAAGCAGGCACCTGGGAGAAGGGCCTTCCATGCAGGAGCTAAAGCAGTCAGGCGAAGTCTCTGAGGCAGAGCTTGTCCAGCCTGCATGGTGAATTGAGAATAAGAAGGAAGAGGTCGGAGCTGGGTCAGAAGGTCACAGTGAGTTGGAGAATGTAGGATCCTGCAGGGTGCTTTCAGGATTAGCTTCTACTCTGAGTGGAGGGTTTTGGGCAGAAGAGCAAACACATCTGATGCTGGCTGCTGTGTTGAGTTTGATTACACAAGGCAGGGGCAGAAGCAGTCTTTCCGACCTTTTGGGAAACTCTTCCGCTTGCTGGTGCTGAGACCAGTGTGGGAGCAAGCAGAAGAGAAGAGCCAGCAGTGAGGGTGGAACCAGCAGTATTTCCTGATGGGTGGGAGGTAGGGTTTGGGAGAAAGAAGGAGGTAAGTTTGGTTCCAAGATTTTTCCCTGAGCAATGAAAAGTTGGTGGCTGCTCTCAGCTATATTACTTGTTCACAATTCCGGAGACTGGAAGTTCAAGATTGAGGTGTCAGCAGGGTTGGTTTCTCCTGAGGTCTCTCTCCTTGGCTTGCAGATGGCCATCTTCTCTCTGTGTCCTCACATGGTCCTCCCTTGGAGTGCATCTTTGTCCCGGGCTTCTCTTCTTGTAAGGACAGCATTCATATTGCAGTAGGGCCCTCCCTAATGAGCTCATTCTATTCTAACTTGCTTACCTCTTTAGAGGTCCTATCTTCAAATACAGTTGCATTCTGAGGTCCTGGAGGTTAGGACTGCAACATGTGAATTTTTAGAGGGAGACGGTTCAGCCCATAATACAGAGAGATGAGATTAGATCAGATTTCTTCCTGACATGGTAAAGTTAGAGGCAGAATAAAGCTGCAGTGAAGGTGGGGCAGGTGCCGTTAGCTAAAGCTTCCCAGCAAATTAAAGGTGAGATTGGAGGCAGCCATGATTAGAGGTACAAGAAACAGAACTCCCCAGCTTAAGCAAAATAGGGCAAGTACAGGAAAGTTGGTCAGGTTCCAAAGGGCTGGTTCCCAGAACTGGGATCTCCACAAGAACCAGGTTCCCACGCGGCCTCTCAGAGCCTCCCGATCTCTTTCCCTTGGCTTCATGGCCATCTAAAACATCTGGCTTTCTCCACTGCAGCCCTGACAAGGTCAACCTTGGCCCTCCCAGGCCTGGTCTCAGGTGGCTTCTCACTCTCACCACCTAAAAGATTTTAGGAATGATCCCTGAGGCTCAACTACAGAATCCTAGGAATTGAAAATCTGCTTGGCGGAATCAAGGAAAATGCCTACCCTGCTTCAAATAGTGAAGGCTGGGGGAGGTCAGTGGGGGACTGAATGAGAGAGCCGTGGAATGCAAATATGGCAGAAGGGCCCATTCTAGATGCACTGCTGGAAGGTGAGGGCTGGGGTGAGTAGAACAGAGCAGAGTTGGGAGCTTGAAGAGAGAGCCAGAAATCTCCACACAGAGAGCCAGTCCTTTCTCCTCCACAGAGAGCCAGTCCCTGTGGACATAAGCCGAGGGCTCAGGAGAGATGAGAGAAAACAAAGCCAGGGTCTGAATGGCTATAGGAGTATGAGAAGCAGAGGCACAAAAAAGAGAAAGTGAAAGTTCTATTGACAAGACAATTTAGACCAGGTAATGTTTTATCCAGTGCAATTACACAGAATGAGGCAGAACAATAGAGAAATAAGTGAGGTCTCAGACACTTTCAAGGGGCTGATGGAAATAATTTATTTTGGTATCGTTTCTTTCATGTTCTTAGAATATATTGGGCACTTCAGGCAACTTACTATAGAGTGTAAAATATATATTATATATATAACTGCAGAGTATATGTCTATCAAGTGGTTCAGCCCAAATGCAGAAACCAATTTGCTACAGAATGAAATGAATCTGCCCAAAGTTGGGGAATATTTAGAAATATTTTTAAGATATTTAAAAGTCGATATTTTAAAAATATTTAAAATATTTAAAAGTTGATATCAAAGTTGATATTTTAAAAGTATCAACTTTGGTTTTTTGTTGTTGTTGTCATTTTTTTTTTTTTTTTTGAGACAGAGTCTGGCTCTATTACCCAGGCTGGAGTACAGTAGAATAATCAGGGCTTACTGCAGCTTCAGCCTCCCAGGCTCAA
The DNA here is from genome assembly GCF_000001405.40 of Homo sapiens. NCBI lineage: Eukaryota > Metazoa > Chordata > Mammalia > Primates > Hominidae > Homo > Homo sapiens. The sequence continues at coordinate 230,050,640 of NC_000001.11, read as the reverse complement.
GCCATCCTCTCATCTCAGCCTCCTAAGTGGCTGGGACCACAGACACACACCACTGCACCTGGCTATTTTTTTTTTTTTTTTTTTTGTAGAGATGAGGGTCTCACCATGTTGCCCAGGCTGGTCTGGAATTCCTGGGCTTAAGCAATCCTCCCACCTTGGCTTCCCAAAATGCTGGGATTATGGGTGTGAGTGACAGCACCTGGCCTCAGCTTTGGTTTTGATGACTGACATTTAACAGATGAGACTAGTCTTGCCACCTTCTTTGCCTCTCTCACCCATCAAAGGCAAAGAGCTACCTGTGACAAACGGTATCACAGCAGGCGTGTCGTACTCTCTTGGGATCTGAGCTTGCTTTTCTCTAACATGGACATCACAATGCCTATCCTGCCTATCTCTCCAGGTGACATAGGAGGGGCTCACCTGAAACACAGTGTATGCAAAGACTTTTCAAAGAGCAGAGTGAACGTATCCCCTAGGGTATGTGTGACATTCTCCTGTAGTTTGTTCTACAATGGTGGCAGGCAACTGTGGTGGTGGTGGACAGGGGTGGGTGGTCCTCTTTTATAGGCTGAGTCCCAAATACAGGCTTTGCACTAGGTGTCACTGCAGTGGAGGCAGGCTGGCTGTCAGCCCAGACCTGTTGGGGACTTGTCATGTCACATGTGATTCAACAACAACTGCAAGTGATGTTGACAGAGCTGGTCCAGATGCTGAATGCTGCAGTGCAGACAGTTTGATAAACGACTCGTGAAACACCATCTTCTATGCCTCTCCCTCATTACTTCATTCAGATATGTATTCAGGGACTTCTAGTCTTATTACTTTGTCCTCTGGACTTTGGTGCCACATTCTCAAGAAGGTGGCATAGCTCATTGTCATCAAGGGTTAAAAAATTAAATTCATTCTTTCATTTAATAAACAGTAGATTTTATTGCCCCCCTTCCTATCTATTTGCTTATTTTTCATGTCTTTGTCCCTGGCACCACAAGGTAAAATATGGTAAATCTGCAATCCTATGAGAAAAGCCCTAGACATCGGACCTCATTCTCTTGTGAATAACACCAGGGTACTCGCTCTCAGTTCAGCACAGCAGCTCTCTAGTAGAAGCTGCTGAAAGCCTCTGTATCAAGTAGGGAGCTCTGGTTGCAAGCCCAATTGCAAGTGCCTCATCTTGCTCATGGACCTGGAAAGTCTAGGTATGATGCTTTATTGTATTAAATACATTTGTCATTCTTGACTGCTCAAAATTGCTTAAACATCCTCTCCACATTTCTGGTCATTCCCCACATTGTAAATTCCTCCTTTCCAATGAAAAGACCCAGTCCCTCTTGCTGCTGGGGAAATAGATTCTATCACTCAGTTGCACTCTCCTATAACTTCTATTGGGAAGTAGGGTGACCAACCATTCTGGTTTGCCTGGCACTGAGGGAGTCTTGAATGTGAGACTTTCTGTGCTAAAATTGGCAAAGTCCTGGGTAACCTGAGCTGAGTTGATCACTCTATTTGAAGCCAGCTATAAAAGACAAGGGCCAGGGGCATCCATTGCGTTGGCCCAAGCAGAGGCTGCTCAGGTTGATGGCAGCAACAGTTTCCATTTCACATCAGTTCTGCAAAGAAGAGCTGGAAGCTGTCCCTGTAAATGCAGCCCAGAGACTACTTCCCACCATTCTCTGAGCCTCTGAATAGTCTTTATTGTATTACAGGCTTTAAACTACCTAAAGGGAGCTCTGTTGACTGACAAGACAGGCGGACTTCAGGTGTAGTTGGTCAGTGGCTTGGAGGTTCAGTGATGTCCTAGAAGGCTGTGTCTGCCTCTCTAGTCTTCTGTCCAGCTCAGGTGGCTCCTCTTGTGGTTTTTGGATGCCTGCCATGTACAACAAGGGCCATAACCTTTCCTCACTGATATCCAGTGGAAGAGAGAGAGTGCTTCTGGGTCATAATTCCAAGCAGACCCCAGAAATTTACCCTGATTGCACGGACTTAAGTCATACTTGTTTTAAAGTGTAGGCTTTATTATTATTCAGGTATGATGAGGCCAACAGGTCATGCAATGACCACCACTGAAAAGATAGTTTGTTACTCACAGTTCCTGAGATGAAGCAATCCCTGCTGGTGCAGGCGGAAACACCAAATTGGATCTCAGGGCAATGGGAGAGAGGGAAAAGCATGACCAGGACCCTTTACTGTGGTTTCCACAGGAAAGGTTAGGCAAGGCACAGTAAGCAGGCTTAGGACTGGCTAGTATGAATAATTTCAATGGGCTCTGGAGTGTAGGGGCTGGCCCAGGTTGGCTGTACCAGGCCCTGGGATGATTTAAGGCACAGGAATATTGCTTCCTGGAGTGCAAGAGCCAGATAGGAGAGGTGGCTCAGAGTATGAGCTCTGGATTTGTTAGTTTGCCTATGAAAGACCTGGGTGGACCTTTTGCTACTCTATCTCTGAGCCCTGGAAGAGGCAGTCTCTCTCCAGTCAGTGAGGACCTAGATGTCAGAGCATCAAGAATACAGAAAATAAGAAAATACAATTAATATAGTACTCTCACCAAAATAATGAAATGGCCAGAGGAATGGACAGTGCTGACTGGCTTAAGGTCAGTCAAGCATTTCCAAAAGTGCTTAGCCTGTGATGGAAAGAGGTAGATGCCAGAATTAAAATTGGTTTTCTGTTAGGCAATGGAGAGGTGGAAGGAAACAGACACTGGTGAGATCACAGTGAATGTCATGACATACATCTTGCTTTTACTATCTGTAAAACCTTAAGGTTTCGCTCAAAGATGACCACTAGCATAAAGCCTTCTGCAGACCCAGCCCACAGAAACTCTCTCCACTAAGTGTTGCTCTACTATTGAGTACACCATGCACACATAGATCCCATATCTTATTACATGGTAATGACTCTTGTACCCATCCGTCACTCCTACTATCCTGTAAGGTCATGAAGGGCTAAAGCCCTGCCTCATACATCTCTCTCTTGTTCTCCAGCAAACTATGGTTGCATGCAACCTCATACCCAGCATCACAGGCATTGCAGACAGCGTTACTGAATGACCAGTCCTTGATTTCAGGGTGTTTAAAGCCTTGCCTAACCAGGAACTCTGTTCTGTAAGAACTTGGACTACAAAAATACAAACATCTCCGTCTCTTCTTCTTTTCTTCTTCGTCTTCCTCTTTCTCCTTCTCCCCCTCCTTCTTTGTCAGTTGCACAGTGCTGAGGACTCAGGCCTCCAGCTTTCTCCAAGTAATCTTCACCTTATTGTTGTATGTCTGTCCTCTCAAACCTCCTGTTGAAATTTGATCTCCGTGTTGGAGGTGGAGACCAATGGGAGGTGTTTGGGTCTTGGGGGCGGATCCCTCAGGAATGTCTTGGTGCCATCCTCGAGGTAATGAGTAAGTCCTTGCTGTATGAGTTCCCACAAAGCTGGTTGTAAAAAAGAGCCTGGCATCTCCCCCCGCACCTCTTGCGTTCTCTCTTGCCTTACGATCTCTGCACAGGCTGGCTGCCCCTCAGCTTCCATCATGAGTGGAAGCAGCCAGAGGCTTTCACCACATGCCTAATCTTCCAGTCGGCAGAATCACGAGCCAATTGAACCTATTTACTTTATAAATTACCCAGCCTCAGGTATGCCTTGATAGTAACACAAATGGTCTAAAACATCAACACGTTGGCCCACTCTTCTGTCCTTAAAGACCAGTCATCACGGAGCATCTTCCTCCCTGGAAGCAGATGCCATTACCTGCTTATTAAAGGCTGAGTGAGGTTAGGTAGGGGGATGGCCAAGACTGGCTTCTGATATGGAAAGAGGTTCTCCACTTGGATCAACAGAGCAAGCAGTTTGAAGTAGAAGTCATGGCTCATTATTCAAAGGCTTCTTCCCATCATGTTCTTTCATGTGGGGATGAGAATTGAGAAGATAACTTTTCTTCTTCAATCAAAGAGAGCTCACAGTTAAAGTACTGAAAGAGAAAACCTGTCATTTTGAAATGAGCAGGCCAGTTGTCTCAAAGGAAATTATCAGCATATTTCAAGAACAGCATTGTTAAAGCAGCCTTGAGAGCTCAAAAGCACGAGAAATCAAACACTGTAAGTTAAACAGAGGAGATCAATCAGATCCTAGTGCAGGGGGCTTGGAACTCAGAGACATCCGCAGCAGGCGTTTTCCTTGATTGTTTCTCAGCTTCCTTTGCAGCTGACATGATTACAGAGAGGCCCAGGTAGCAACTCCTCACCTGAGAAACGCGAGTGGATGCCCAGGAGGGAGGAGCTCCCGCAGTCCTCCCAATAACCTGAGAAAGCAGCACCATACCGGGAAACGGAACAGAAAGGTCCACACCCCAACTTTTCCCAAGAGTATTCTGTGGAGCACCTGAATCATGAGATGCTCTGTAATCAAATACGTTTGGGAAACGTTATACACTCTAAATCCCCTTACAGGTACATTAGAGATTTTGGCGTGTCAAAAGCCCTGAGAAGTCCTGCAATAGAAGAACCTGTTTAACTGCTGCTAAGCCCAGATTTCTCAAACATATTTGGCCAGACAATTTTCTTTTTTACTCCAGAAAACATCCTGTGGAACTAGCATTTCCTAGCACACAATTTAAGAAACACTGCCCTGCCTCATTTTCAGGTTTCAATTTGGCCACCACTTTCAGACTCTTCCCCTCCCAAGACTTTTTTTTTGAGATGGAATCTCACTCTGTCGCCCAGGCTGGAGTGCAGTGGTGCAATCTCAGCTCACTGCAAGCTCCGCCTCCTGGGTTCACGCCATTCTCCTGCCTCAGCCTCCCGAATAGCTGGGACTACAGACGCCCGCCACCATGCCCAGCTAATTTTTGCATTTTTAGTAGAGACGGGGTTTCACCGTGTTAGCCAGGATGGTCTCAATCTCCTGACCTCGTGATCTGCCCGCCTCGGCCTCCCAAAGTGCTGGGATTACAGGTGTGAGCCACCGCGCCCGGCCTCCTCCCAAGACTTTCTAACAGAACCACTGTAAAGTTTGAAAAGACCCTGCAAGTCAGGCCTCGCATTAAGGGAAAAGTCCAGCACTGTCTAGACAAGGGGTCAGAACAAGGCTACAGATGATCAGTGTGGGGTTCCCAGGGCATCATGGCCCAGACTCTGGTGGAAATGAGAGTGATTCGCAGGGACATGGCGGGAGAGAAGGCCTGACTGGTTGTGTAGACTGACAGCCCTCGATGGGGTGTGTGGGAAAGCCACAACTCTGTTCCCATGAGGGGCTCCGGAAACTCAAGTCACCTCAGGCAAATCTGGATAGAAGACAGTGGCAGTAGATTCTATGCCCCCAATAGAGAGGATGTTTCTCCTAATACACAGTGTGTCATCATCATCCTTGGCTCAGGGCTTAACAGTGTGAAGCGGATAGCTGTCAGGCACCATTGCAGACACCTGGGTGGGACTGAGACCACCTGGAAGGACACCTGTACTGACATAAAAAGCAGTGAATTAAGAGGTCAGGAGCCTGCCTGGCAGACAAAGTCACTATTAATTGCTAATGCCAAGAGAGAAGGTAGGGAGTCAAGGCAAGGAAATGAAGGGCACTGTGCCAGCTGTGTACAGTCATGTGGGTTGTACGCTATACGGGGAGCGGGTCAAGGGGGTGAGCAAGGGCTAAAATCTAACCTAGGTTCCATCTGCCAGGCTAGAAGCCCTCACATGGGACTACACATAAAAGGAAGCTTTTACTAATTCACACAAAGTCTGACAGGGACCCAGATGCGCTGGATGCCAAACGCTAGCTTGTGAAGTGAAAGGAACAGGGGGATCTGGCTGGGGTCTTTCAGCACACTCGCCATGCAAAATTTGGGCAAAACATGGGTAAGAAACTGACACTGTAGGCAAATCCAAAAATCCCAAGCTGGCAAGGGCTGGCAGCCAAACGAGACACAGAGAAAAGGACTCAGGTCTAGTCAGCCCAGGTGAAGTCAACTGTCCTAACAGTGCCTCTTTGAAAGCTCCAAGTCTCCGCCCTTGGGTACTCTTTCATAAGGGTTGACGGCGTGGTTTTGACCTACACATCTGACCATGTGTGACCTCTTCTTTGTTTGTTTTTATTTTTGTTTTTCGGTTTTTTTTTTGAGATGGAGTTCCGCTCTTGTCTCCCAGGCTAGAGTGCAATGGCATGATCTCTGCTCACTGCAACCTCTGCCTCCCAAGTTCAAGTAATTCTCCTGCCTTAGCCTCCCGAGGAGCTGGGATTACAGTCATGTGCCACCACGCCTGGGTAATTTTGTATTTTTAGTAGAGACTGGGATTCTCCATGTCGGTCAGGTTGGTCTCGAATGCCTGACTTCAGGTGATCTGCTCACCTTGGCCTCCCAAAGTGCTGGGATTACAGGCATAAGCCACCGAGCCCACCCTAATTTTTGTATTTTTAGTAGAGACAGGGTTTCACCATGTTGGCCAGGCTGGTCTCGAACTCCTGACCTCAGGCGATCCACCCACCTCAACCTCCCAAAGTGCTGGGATTACAGGCGTGAGCCACCACGCCCAGCCTCTTCTCTGTTTTTAATAGAGTAACAAGAGCCAAGGATCTAAGGAAGCCTTTACAGCCAGACCTGGGAACAGGACTGGAAATGCAGCACCTTGCTCTAATGATATTTAGAGACTGCCCAGAGGAATGACTTTTCAACAGTGCTCAATGTCTGTGAACCTTGGGTTTTATAGAACATGGTCTTATAGGTCTCATGGTCAAGGGCATCATTTCAGACATGTTTAGTGCTGCCATTCAAGTTACGTATTTCTTTGAGGGACATCATGACTAACCTACGGCTTACAATATGTCCCCTCTCACCTGGTCACCAGTGTTTTTTTTTTCTTCCCTAATCAGCTCTACTTTACCCTCCCTGCCTCCTCCAGCTGATCTTTAAACTTTCACCATTTTCTTTTGTCACATGCCATTTTTACTGGATGACTGTACCTCCCACAATATACAAAACATAAATGTCACCAGAAATGAGCTTTTTGAAGCTTTCTACCAAGTATCACAAACTTTAGTTCTAATGGCATTTATTCTTTGCTCATTCTCTCTTGTCTACAGAAGAAAATCTCTTTTCCAACTTAAAGAAAAAGATTCACTTGATTCTGCCTGACCTTCAAGCTACTTCTCTCTTGCTCTCTATCACAAAACTTGTTAAAAGAGCATCTGAGACTTCCACTTTTGCCCATGAAGGACTACTGGGGCCGGAATTACCCTCCCACTTTACACAACTTGAAAACTGGACAAAATGATAAGAAATCATGTTTTTTTTCTTCAGAAATTGGACAATAGGCAGTACAAGATTGAGACTGCTGAGCGAGGGTGACAAACAAGATAGCCCTACAGTTGCCCCAGCTAAGTGCCAGGAGGCAATTTCCAGGCTGTAGCGCAGGAAGCAGTTCCCACACTGTCTGAGGATTACACTGAGCTCAGGAGAAAGAGATCAGAAGTGGGAGGGAGGAAGCCAAAGTGGTTAGAATTTGTGGAACAGAATACTGAAGAAAAAAAGAAGGAGCTGCACCAAGAAATAGCTCAAGAAACCTGTGGAGGAAACCAGGCACACCTTTAGACGAACACTGACCTGCCCACGTGTGAAAGGGAACTACCTGGACCTGGGTAACTACTCTGCAAGGCAGTAGGCTAAACATTCCTGGTGCTCGCACATAAGCAGGAATAATTTGTGTTCCCACTAGCCAAATGGACAGACCTTGCAATAAATACACAAGACAGGAAAATACCATCTTACTAGTTGGGATAAATTATTAGCCTTAGACTGAAGGCTGACTCAGACATGCCCCCGAAATGCTTGATAGCAGGCTTGAAAGGAGCAAACTGATTCCAAATAACTTAATTGTCTACCAGAACTAAGTCCAACACTTTTTAAAGGAATCAAAAGATTCAGCACCCCCAAAATGTAAATCCCAAAATATTCATGATCCAATAAAAAATTACTAGAAATGCAAAAAGCAAGAAAATTTGAACCATTATCAGGAGACAAAGTAACCAATAGAAACACCCAGAAATGAAAGAGATGATAGAGATGACAGAATTAGCAGATCAGAATATTAAAATGGTTACAAATAAGTTCCATTGTATAAGAAAGTAGAGGAAAAGGATACAATGAAGCAATAAATGAAAGAATAAAAAGACATGAGTGAAGCTTATAAAGATGAAGAATACAATATCTAAAATATAAATACAGTAAAACATTAAGTGGGATAAAAGGGATAATTTCATAATAATAAAGAGATCAAGTAATCAAGAGGATATCAAAATGCTAAATATGTATTAACCTGATATCCCAGCTTCAAAAGAAATTAAAACTGATAGAACTGAAAGAAGAAGTAATCAAGTTCACAGTTATAGTTAGAGATTTCAACATCTCTCTCAATGACTGATGGAACAGGAAGAAATAAAATTAGTAAAAATATAGAATATTTGAACAACACTATCAACCAACTTGTCATTTATGTAACACTCCATCTCAGAATAGCACAATATACATTATTTTTAAGTGCATATGAATCATTTAACAAAATAGACCATATTCTGGATCATAGTATAAGTCTCAATGAATTTAAAAGGATTTAAGTCATACGAAGTATGTTTTCTGACCACAAAGGAATTAAACTAGAAATCACTTACAGAAAGATACCTTAAAAATCCTCCCAAATGTTTGGAAATTAAACTACATACTTCTAAATAACCCCATGAGTCAAACAAGAAATGACAAGAGAAATTAGAAAATATTTGAACTAAATAAAAATGAAATTATTTGCACCTTAAATATATACAATAAACAAAGAAGAATCTCTGAGGGTGAACAAAATGAAAACGTAACATGTAAACATTTGTTGGCTGCAGCTAAAACAGTACTTAGAAATCTGTAGCATGTTATGCGAATGTAGGTAGATAGCTTGAAAATGAATGAACTAGCTCTCCACATAGCCCTATATGTATTAGGGAAACTAAATTTATAGCTTAAAACTTAGTCTTAGCAAATTAAGGCTAAGTTAATCAGAAGAAACAAAATAGTAAATAGTTAAAAAGAAACTAACGAAATAGGAAACATAACAACAATAAAGAACGATCAATGATAGTAAAAGCTGGCTGGACCTGATGGCTCATGCCTGTAATCCCAGCACTTTGGGAGGCCAAGGCGGGTGGATCACCTGAGGTCAGGAGTTCGAAACCAGCCTGGCCAACATGGGGAAACCCCGTCTATACTAAAAATACAAAAAATGAGGCAGGTGTGCCGGTGTGCACCCAGCTACTTTGGAGGCTGAGACAGGAGAATTGCTTGAACATGGGAGGCGGTTGCAGTGAGCCGAGATCGTGCCACTGCACTCCACCCTGGGTGACAGAGTGAGACTCCGTCTCAAAACAAACAAACAAACAAACAAAACCCACAAAAACCTAAAAGCTAGTTTTGTTAGAGGATAAATAAAATTTATAAGACCCTTCCCCTGTGAAACTAATAAGACATAAAAAAGATAAGAGATGAAAAGATAAAGAAAAAAATTTATAAAGAGAGAAGACACAAGTTACTAATATTAGGAATAAGAGAAGGGCCACCACTTCACCTTTGATAAATATTAAGAAGATATAAGGGAAAGGGGTGGACAATTTATGTCAATAAATTCAGCAAATGGAATAAAATGAAAAAATGTCTTGAAAGACACAAACCTCACTTGGGAAGAAATGTTATCAATAGCCCTGTATTTATTAGGGAAATTAAATACATAGTTTAAAACTTCCTTAGAATAAAGAGAGTAATTTTACAGTGGAGGAACCTGGCAAGCCTGACCTCAGCAGGAGAAACTTAGTATCAACAGTGATTCCAGTTGATAGTGCATACCGTGGTGTGATGTGATGGCAATGGCGCTTTACCTCTGTAGTCTTCCTCTCAAAAACCCATCGTCCCAGTATAGTTTCAGAAAACATCAAACAAAGCCCAACTGATGGACATTCTACAAAATTCCTAACCCATATTCCTCAAAACTGTCAAGGTCATCGAAAACAAGGAAAGTGTGAGGAAACTGTCACGACCAAGGGGAATCAAAAGAGACGTGATGACCAGAGGTAATGTGCTACCCAGGATGCGATCCCAACAGAAAAAAAGACATTCAGTAAAAAGAAAAGGTGAATGAAATATGGACTTTCGTCAATAATAATGCATCAGGCCTGGCTCCGTGGCTCACGCTTGTAATCTCAGCACTTTGGGAGGCCAAGGCAGGTGGATCACTTGAGGTCAGGAGTTCGAGACCAGTCTGGCCAACATGACAAAAAACCATTTCTACTAAAAATGCAAACAAATTAGCCGGGTGTGGTGGTGTGCACCTGTAGTCCCAGTTACTCAGTAGGCTGAGGCAGAAGAATCACTTGAACCTGGGCAGCGGAGGTTGCAATGAGCCAAGATCGCACCACTGTACTCCAGCCTGGGGGACAGAGCGAGACTCTATCTCAATTAAAAACATAATAATAATAATAATTCATCAGTATCAGGTCATAGTTGTGACAAATATACAATGCAAAATATCAATGGTGGGGAAACCAAGTATGAAGTATATGGAAACTCTTGATACTATCTTCACATCTTTCCTGTAAATCTAAAACTATCCTATGATAAAAAGTTTACTGAAACACACACACACACACATACACACACACACACACACAAAGAGAGAGAGAGAGAGAGAGAGAGAGAGAGAGAGACAGAGAGAGAGAGAGAACTCCAGGCCCAGATGGCTTCACAGCTAAATTCTATCAAATATTTAAAATATAAATAATGTCAATTCTACACAAACTCTTCCAGAAATAGAAGAGGAGGGAACTTTTTCAACTCATTCTTTGAGGACAATATTGTTCTGATACCAAAACTATACAAAGACAGTAGAAGAAAAGAAAATTACATACCAACATCTTTCAAGAACATAGTTAATGAAAATTCTTGACAAAAAGTTTAGCAAATCAAATTTAGTAATATAATCCAGAATACATGATTATGAAGTAGGATCTCTACCAGGAATGTAAGGTTGGTTTAACATGTGAAAAATTAATGTAATTCATCACATTAACAGATTTAAAAAGAAAAACTAGGCTGAGTATGGTGGTGGTTTATGCTTGTAATCCCAGCATTTTGGGAGGCTGAGGCAGGAGGATCTCTTGAGGCCAGGAGTTTGAGGCCAGCCTGAGCAACATAGTGAGACCCTGTCTCTACAAAAATGAAAAAATTAACTGGGTGTGGTGGTGTACACCTTCAGTCCTAGCAACTCAGGAGGCCGAGGCCAGAGGATTGCTTGAGCCCAGCAGTTTGAGGTTGCAATGAGCAATGATCATGCTACTGCATTCCAGCCTAGGTGACAAAGTGAGACCCTGTCTGAAAGAAAGAAGGAAAGAAAGAAGGAAGGAAGGAAGGAAGGAAGGAAGGAAGGAAGGAAGGAAGGAAGGAAAGACAGGAAATATAGTCATCTCTATAGAAAGACCATTTAATGAAATTTAATACCCATTTATGATTAAAAACACTCAACAAATAGAAGGGAAATGGAATAAAAATAGAAGGTAATTTTTTCTCAGCCTGATAGATACATGCTTAGTGATGAAAGACAGAATGTTCCACCTCTAAGATCTGGAGCAAGGGAGGGATATTTGCTTTTGCCCTTTCTATTTCATTTTGTACCAGAGGTCTTCATCAGTGAAATAAGACCAGAAAAAGAAGTCATATGCATAAATGTAAAAGTGAAAAATAAAACTGATTATATTCACAAATGATGTGACATGATTATATATGTATAAAATAGTAATGAATTTACAAAAATGGTAGCAGAATAGGTGAGCTTAGCAATGCCAATATATAAAAATGAGTTGCATTTTTATCTACTAGCAATGAACAATTCGAAAATTAGATTAAAATATATACATATAAATATATACATATAAAATATATACAATATATTTACAATTGCATCAAAAGAACAAAATATTGTGATATATTTCACAAAATATGTACATGACCTGTACACTGAAAACTATTTCATACAAAAGAGTGCTGAGAAAAATTAAAGATGATGTCAACAAATGAAGAGATATTTCATAGGTTGGAAGACTCAGTAGTTTTTGATGTCATTTCTTGCCAAATTTATTTGTAGAATCTGAATCACAAGAATCACAATCCCAGCAGATTCCCTGGGTAGACATTTAGAATAGCAAACCCTTGTTCTCTTTCTTTTCTTTTCTTTTCTTTTCTTTCTTTCTTTCTTTCTTTCTTTCTTTCTTTCTTTCTTTCTTTCTTTTTCTTCTTTCTTTCTTCCTTTCTCTCTTTCTTTCTCTCTCTCTTTCTCTCTCTCTTTTCTTTCTCTTTCCTTCTTTCCTTCCTTCCTTCTTTCTTTCTTTCTTTCTTTCTTTCTTTCTTTCTTTCTTTCCTTCCTTCCTTCCTTCCTTCCTTCCTTCCTTCCTTCTTCTTTCTTTTTCTTTTTTTGTGGAGATGAGGTCTCACTATATCATTCTGGTCTTGAGCTGGGATTATAGGCATGAGCCACTGCACCTGGCCTAGAATAGCAAGCCATTCCTAAAATTTTCATGGAAATGCAAATAACCTAGAATAGACAAAACAATTTTGAAAAATAAGAACCAAGTTGGAATACTTACACTATCTAATTTAAGATTTGCTATGCAATATTCAGGAAAGGTATTTGTGTAGAGATAGACATATAGATCAAAGGGACAGGATGTCAGCCAGAATGGCAGAGTAAGCGCCTCTGAAAATTCTTTCCTCCAGGACAATGAGATGACTGCTTGACTTATGATGGGGTTACGTCCTGATAAATCCATTGTAAGTTGAAAATGTAAGTCAAAAATGCATTTAACACACCTAACCTACCAAACATCATAGCTTAGCCTAACCTACCTTAAACATGCTCAGAACACTTATAGTAGCCTACAGTTGGGCAAAATCATCTAAGACAAAGCCTATTTTATAATAAAGTGTTGAATATTTCATGTAATTTGTTGAAGAGTGTACTGAAAATGAAAAACAGAATGGTTACTTGGGTACTCCACGTGTGGTTTCTACTGAATGCGTATTGCTTTCACACCACTGTAAAACTGAAAAATCTTAAGTTGAACCATTATATATCAGGGGTTGTCTGTGCTGACAAAATTTGTCAGAACAACTTTTTCAGTTCTGGAAGTTAACCAAAAGCTTGTAGTGTTATAGAACCAAACTGGGATCCATTTCCTCAGTGCAGCAAAACCAGATATGCACACTGAGGTTTTGCAGTGGTAGAAAGGAAGGCATTTATTTGCACAGTGCCAAGCAAGGAGAACCAGGCAGCTAGTGCTCAAATCCTGACCTCCTCTACGGCTTGCAGGTGACAGTTTTTAAAGGCAGGGGTAGATTTCAGGATAGCAAAGTCACAGGCAAATTTGTAAATCAATACATAGAGGTTATACATTGGTTTTGGCCAAAAAGGGCAGGATATCTTGAAGTGGGGACTTACAGGTCATAGACAGATACAAAGGTTTTCTGATTTGCAATTGGTTAAGAAAGCAAAGCTTTGTCCAAAAATTTGGAATCAGCAGTAAAGAATGTTAACTGGCTTGTGGGTGTGACTCCCTCCAGGCCCCTCCTGAAGAAATTTAGAACAAACAGCAGAGGTCAGAGTTCAGTCCTTGGTTTCCTCTCATCTGAGGTCCATGTGCCAGTGGAACTATTTGGTGGGGGTCTAGGTTTCTGAAAAGCAACTCAACAGACACACGTTAAGATGTTAGCTTTAGTTTCCACAGGGAACCAAACATCTCTGGATTCTAACTTCTTTGGCTATTGTTTTCAAGCTACTATCATTTTCTTGCTTATCAAGTTATTATTTACTTTTCAAGGCTAGCTAGGTACCTGGAATTTCCCTTAAAGGAACTCAAGATTTTCCTTAATTTCCATGCTTGAGGGGGGTGGAGGTGAGGGGGCTCCCAGGCCCCTAAGAGGGGGTCCTTGCTTCATCTCAATAGCAATCAAGAAAAACATCTGAATCTCAGTAAGAACATTGAGCTTTGTGATGTTTTAACTTTCCCTATTCCCATCCCGTCTAGCCATGTCTGCAATAACCTTGAAAACAACAACAACAACAACAACAAAATGGCCCACAGTAACGGTAGGCCTTGGAGACCTGTGGGATTCAATCAAAATTATCAAGATACTCACAATGAGAGTCAGATAAGGAGAGGATAGAGAGAAATGGGCAGAAAGAATATTTGAAGAAATAATGGCTGAAAACTCCCCAAATTTGGGCCAGGCGTGGTAGCTCATGCCTGTAATTTCAACACTTTGGGAGGCCGAGGTGGGTGGATCACCTGAGGTCAGGAGTTCCAGACCAGCCTGGCCAACATGGTGAAACCCCTCTCTACTAAAAATACAAAAAAAAAGAAAAGAAAATTTAGTCAGGTGTGGTGGTGCACGCCTGTGGTCCCAGCTACTAGGGAGGCTAAGGAAGGAGAATTGCTCGAACTTGGGAGGCAAGATCACGCCACTGCACTCCAGCCTGGGTGACAGTACGAGACTCTGTCTCAAAACAAACAAACAAACAAACAAAAAAAGAAAATCTCCCCAAATTTGATGAAAAACATTAATCTACACATCCAAGGAGTTTAACAAATTCCAAGTAGAATAAATGCAGAGAGAGCCACATCTAGACACATCATAATCAAACTGTTGAAAGTCAAACAAAAAGACAGAATTTTGAAAGCAGTAAGAAACAAGCAACACATCAGGTACAAGAATACCTCAATAAGAGTAGCAGCTGACTTCTCATTGTAAACCAGAAAGGCCAGAAGCAGTGGGGTGATATATTCAAAGTACTGAAATAAAAATGACTGTCAATCAAGAATTCTATATCCAGCAAAAACATTCCTTCAATGAAAGAGAAATTAAGACATTCCCAGACAAACAAAAACTGAGAGAATTTCTTTCTAGCATACTTGTCCTACAAAAAATACTAAAGGGAGTACTTAAGGCTAGAATGCAAGACCACTAGACAGTGACTTGAATCCATGTGATAGATAAAGAACACCAATTAAGTTAACTCCATAGGTAAATATAAAATAAAGTATAAATGTATTTTTTGTTTTAGCCCCTTTTCCTCTTAACTGATTTAAAAGACAATTACATAAATCAATAATTAGTCCTAAGGTACAAAATGGAGAGTCCAGAAAGAGACCATAACATATATGGTCAATTGATTTTTGGCAAAGATACTAAGGTAATTCAATGGGGAATGGATTGCCTGTTTAATAAATGGACTAAGTTCATTCTAAAAATGAACCTTAGACCATATATAAAAATTAACTCAAATTGGACCATAGACCTAAACTTAAGACCTGAAGCCATAGAAGAAACTTTTAGAAGAAAAAGTAGGAATAGATTGTGACTCATGTTGCACGAAATATCTTTTGATAGGACACAAAGCGCTGTCCTATCAACTATAAAATGATAAGCTGATAAATTGGACATCATCAAAATGTAAGATATTTCTCTTTAAAAAACACTGATAAGGTAAGGCAAGCCACAGTCTGGGAAAGGATACTTGTGAAACATGTATCTGATAAAAGATTTTAATCCAAACTCTATGAAAAACACTTTTGCATGTGTTAAAATATACATAAACATGAAATTTACCATGTTAACTATGTTTAAGTGTGCAGGTCTATGGCACTGAGACAAAATCCAAAATCCACTTTTTGGGGTAATTTTCCAGATAGGTGATCCTCCCTTTGCTGTTCATTCTCCTGAAGGTTCTAGGCTACTTTTCAAACCAAGGAAACTACCTTTTAAAGCAATGTGCCTGCCATCCTCCATGATTCAGAGTAGCATGTCACCATGAATTTAAGAAAACAAAATCACAGACCACAGTAAAATGGATTTAATGGTCACAGTCGTGTTCATAAAACACCTCAGCTTCTTAAGCACAGACTTTAATAATTTAATATTTTTTTTCTGCTGTGACACTAAGATTTTCTGAGAGAGAGAGAAAGCCAGCAGTAAGATAAAGCCTACATCTTCCTCCATTTTCATGGCAGCAGAACTAATGTCTCTCCTGCCATTCTTTTTGCTGTTGTTGTTGAGATGGAGTCTCACTCTGTTGCCCAGGCTGGAGCGCAGTGGCGTAATCTCGGCTCACTGAAACCTCCGCCTCCTGGGTTCAAGCGATTCTCCTGCCATTCTTAACGATGCCTGGCTATAGATGTCTCTTCACACCAGCGCCCTGACTGGGGATGCCTGTCTCCTCTTGCTAAGCAGGATAAAGGCCCCAGTTCTTAAAATGTTTAGCAAAGAAAAAGGATTTCAGTATTTCCAGTTGGTCTAATTTATTTTAAATTCTGGATCCATATTTTAAAAGCAAAATCAACTAACATGTAATAACATGGAAACCAAACCAAACCAAACATCTAGTAACCTGCCATATTGACCAGATATAACATGTTTCACAATCATTAGCTCTCTGGTGGACTTATTATTGTTACTAAAATTTTCCACTTAAAGCTATATATCCAATATTTTAAAATATATTTTAAAATTAAAAATTTGTATATAGAAAGTAATACATATAAAGCCACTCTAAAATTTTGGAAAATAGAGAACAGATGAAGAAGGTAACTAATATTACCCATAATTCCACTGGCCAAGAATTACTGTTAGCAGTTTTTTAATAGCTTTTTTTTAATGCATATGGACACAGATTAGGTATATTTATAAGAACATACTGTATACACTCTTTTATAGGCTGCTTCTTTTTCTACTTTTAATAATTTACTATGAGCATTTAGTCATCAGATTGTCCTCCAAAATAGTATTTTTAATGCTTTTTGTAGCATTCTATCATATGCGTTGCATCATTTATATAACCCAGATCTAATTAGCCAGGTGTGGTGGGTCACACCTGTAATTCCAGCACTTTGGGAGGCCAAGGTAGGCGGATCACGAGGTCAGGAGTTCAAGACCAGCCTGGCCAACATGGTGAAACCCCGTCTCTACTAAAAATACAAAAATTAGCCAGGCGTGGTGGCGCACAGTTGTAATCCCAGCTACTCGGGAGGCTGAGGCAGGAGAATTGCTTCAACCCAGGAGGTGGAGGTTGCGGTGAGCTGAGATCATGCCACTGCACTCCAGCCTGGGCAACAGAGCAAGACTCCATCTCAAAAAATAAATAAATAAATAAAAATCTAATAAAAATCTCAGTTGTTTCTATTTGTTTGCATTTAAATAACGCATACTTATATATTTATCTTTAGTACATCTCTGTTTTCATAGGATGAATTCCTAGATGATATACTTATAATTTCTGAGGAGATAAACCTAGGACTTTGACATTCCCTAGAATGTCTTGGGCATTCCAGTCAAGAACCTGTTCCTCCAATAAACTCCTTTCAGATAGTTCTTATAGCTCAGCTGCAATCCTGTTACTTGCTGAAGGCCTTTAACAGCATCTCCTGAATCAGATATTTATTTCTTCATCTGTCATTCCTACATCCTTTTTCCACTTATATACCAGGTACTATCTGGTATATAAGTATATACCAGATATACCTATATATCTGGTATACAGGTATATAAGTGTGTATCTGGTATACACTGGTAGAGATAACATATATCTCTACTCCTCACAGTGCCCTGATGTAGGTAGTGTTGTGTTCATTTGATAAATGCGGAAATTGATATTGAGAGAGGTTCAAAAACTTGCCCAAGGTCACATCACTAATAAATGGTTATTTTAATCCCGGTGTGCAAAGCCTGTATTCTTTTCCTTAGTGGGTTTCACTAATGTTCTGTCTAACTGCAACAGAAGCATCGTGGTTTAGATCACACAGGCTCAAGACAGTCTGCCCGGATTTGAATCTCAGTGATTTGAATCTAGCCTGTGACTTCACGCAAGTAATTGTCCTTGTCTGCATTCATTTCCTCATCTGTAAAATGTGCATAATAATAGTACTCACCTCATAGGGCTGTGGTGAGGATTCAATTGCTGAATATACATAAAGTGCTCAGATTTGTGCCTGGTACAATGGAAGTATTAATTACTTTCATCGTCATCATCATCATCTTTTTGTTGTTGTTGTTATAGTCATGGTTGTAGTTTGTTGCAGTGAAAAGATACAGGTTAAAATGAGTAAAGCAAAAGACACATATGGCAGAGTCCAGGAGAAACCAGCAGGAGCTCCTAGTTATTCTTCACTGGTGCAGTGGTACAGACAGCACTTAATTCTCCCAGCACCAATGTATGAAAACACATCATCATCATTACTGTTGTTGTTACTATAAGTGTTACTATTACACTCCAGGCAAACCAGTCTTTCTATCCATTTCCCAAGCTTAACTTCATTTCTAAATCTACGTCTTTGCTCACACTATTTTCTACTCTTGGCATACTTGTCCCATCTTTTCACATGACTAACTTTGTGGCTGTCTTTCTTGATGAAACGGATGAAACAAATTCTTCCTATCCTTCCACAACCACTCCCTTCCTCATCATTGCCTGGTCTCTCCGTCTTCTCTTCCACCGCTTGTCATTCTTTTATGTTGTTCATCCTATCTGTCCTGTTTTGGAGTCTTGAGTGTACCTGTTTACTTCCTTACTAAACCAAAAGCCCACTGAGGGCTGAGGCTGTCCTGGGAACTGTCACGTATTGTTGTGAGGTGAAGCCAGATAGAGCATGTGTAATATCCAGCTCTGTTCCTTTACTGGCCCCATTTCTAGCTCCTGAAAGTTGTTTCACTCCTCTGTGTCATGTTTTTTTCACCTGTAAAGTGGACATTATATTGGGAACTACTCTGCGGGATTATTGGAAGGATCAAAGACATATATAGGCCAGGCGCAGTGGCTTATGCCTATAAGCCCTACACTTTGGGAGGCCAAGGTGGAAGGATTGGTTGAGTTCAGGAGTTCAAGACCAGTCAGGGCAACATTGGTTGGTTCAAGACTAACAGGTCCAACATTTTGTAGGACCCAGTCTTTACAAACAAACA
This sequence comes from Homo sapiens, assembly GCF_000001405.40. Taxonomy (NCBI): domain Eukaryota; kingdom Metazoa; phylum Chordata; class Mammalia; order Primates; family Hominidae; genus Homo; species Homo sapiens. The sequence goes on along the minus strand of NC_000001.11, from coordinate 230,031,636 downwards.
AACAAACACAACACAAAAACACAAAACCAAAAAAGCCCCTACAAATATTAGCCGAGTGTGGTGGCATGCAGCTGTAGTCTCAGCCACTTGGGAGGCTGAGGGAGGAGGATCCCGTGAGCCCAGGAGTTCGAGGTAGCAGTGAGCTATGATAGCACCACTGTACTTCAGCTGGGTCAATAGCAAGACGCTGTCTCAAAAAAAAAAAAACATGAGTAATATGTCTGGATGACAGTAAGTGCTCAATAAATGCTAGTAATCAAAGGTGACATAGTAGGCACTGAGGAAATGTTAGCTGAGTGAAATGCAGGCACTCATGACTCATGCTGGGTCACTAGACATTTGTTGAGTGGTTTCCTCTTTTGTATCTGCTCATAAAGCTATGTAGACTCTCTCTGGTTATTAACTGGTATGATTAGGGATTATTGCCTAAGACTAGTCTTGTTTGAGATGGTGATGGGAGTGAGAGTGGTAGAGGTAATGGCTAAGCTCTAATCTCTGGGTCAAAAAATGAAGATATTGGTAAATCTTGGGGGAAATACAAGGGAAAAGCCCTCTGGCAGACAATTCTTTAAAATTTCTCCAGATGTCAGACTGTTCTGGGAACACACACTCCCTCTGATGCCAACTTCAACCCACCTGCCCTGCCGAAGGTACCTTGGGCTACAGGAATAGGAGCTTGGGCTCTGAGGGCAGCATCCAAAGAGGAGATCAAGCATATACACAGGCACGAGGGAAGCTGTGGTTGTCCAGTGACATTTTGCGGTTCCCTAGAACTCTTCGCTCAATCCCAAAGAACAACAGGGCCACCCATGGTCCTGTTTGCCTACTCACATTCTGACCTCTGGCCCCACCTGAGCTTACTCTCCTATGCTCAGGCTTTCACAATTTCCCTCTCTTAGTTGGGGGTATACAGTGTTAAATAAAATGTATGGGAGGCCATTGTTTTGAGCTAAGCTCTTGTGCCAAGCCCCTACAGACCAACCAAAATGGAGTCACTTGTGTTAAGTGCCACATAATCAAACTGAAACTTTAAAAAAAACAGAAAAAATCCCCAAGCTGGCCAGTTTTTTCCAAAAAAACAGAAGATTTAGGACGACCAATCTATAAGGGCCCAGTCAATCTGAGCTGGCATGATAAGGAAGTCTCCTCTGCTTTAGCCCTTTAAAGAAAGTAACCTGAAGTAACCTGATGTTAACCAATCCTCTTTTTCTGTATTAAGCTGTTTCCTTGTTTCTGTTCAAGTTACCTTACAAAAACTGACTGTTCTGCTAGGCCTAGTGGAGCTCTTTCTATTTTTTTAGACAGGATGCTGCCCAATTCATGAATCATTAATAAAAGCCAATTAGATGTTTAAACTCAGTTTGTTGAAATTTTGTTTTTGGCAGCAATCTGTTTTGGTTCTTTCAGTGAATACCCTAAGAATCACAACATATGCTTCTAATGTATCAAAAGCTAACGTTAATCTGCCTTTACCTTCCTTCTGGATAACATATTGCCTCACTGCAAAAATTACTGTTTTATACCACATAGCGCTAAAATCAATTTTTCCAACCATGGTGATTGAGCCCTTCCACTATTAAATGGGCTACATTAACGGAGGTGAACAGGTTTCAATTTCCAGGCCAACATCAATCAATTTGTAATAGTCAGAGTTCTGGGAAGGATTCTAAGGCAATGTTCAGGTTCAGAAGGGGGTTTCAAAAAAAAAAGAGCCATAAGGTGTTCTGTAAGCAAAGGATGAGCCCAGTAGAAATCAGGGATTGGATCTGAGATTAATCAGGCCCGGCCAATGAAAGACTTTAGCAACCCAAAGGCTCCCCAGGGGTTTAGAGTTTCCTGGATTACTTGTAGTGCATTGCAAAGTAAACGCACATGATCTCCAAGCAGGAGGACCACCCCACGCCCAGAGGTCCATTCCTGGTGAGAAGGCACACCCCACAAATGGAGATCTGTGAGTGATGTGATACGTGTGCTTATACCAGGCTAGTCACCATCTCAATAGGGAAATGGAAAGATTTATCAGAACAGGAGAAAACCAAACAGAAAGGTGAGTGAAAACACCCAAGCAAAAAGAAATGCTCACTGCGGAGACAGCCAGGTGGGAAGGGGTCCCCAGAGAAACTCTAACCAGCCTGCACACTGGAAGGAGTGCACCCTGGAGTGGAGCCACAGAAGTTTGTGCTGTTTGACGGGGAGGAGCCCGGCCCCTCCCCTTCCTGTGTGGCACCTGCGATTCAGTTTGCGAGGTGGGAAGCACACTGACAGGGAGTCTGGCTTCGCTAAGAGTCTCTTTTTCCCCTTTATTTCATTTTTCACCCAATAAAACCCTGCCTTACTCACCCTTAAAATTGTCTGCGAGCCTAATCTTTCGTGGCCGTGGGACAAGGACCCCGTCTTTAGCTGAACTAAGGAAAAATCTCGCAACACTGCTATGAATACAATGTAGGACACTTGTCCCACTGACAAGGGTGGGAGATGCAGGGATGGGGCCCAGCCCTGAAGCGGCCTTAGAAGGCCTGGGTCTTGTTTCTTCTGATGATGAATATGTCACTGTCAGATTTCCTTAAATTACTGTGGTGTGAAGTTGACTCTGAGAAAACAAGGCTAGTTGCATGTTGAGTGACAGGTGAAAAAGAAGATAAACCCCCTGCTGGGCATAGGCTTTTAAAACTGGAGACCTGTGGTCAGGTGAAGTGGCTCATGCCTATAATCCCAGCACTCTGGGAGGCTAAGGCAGGAGGATCTCTTTTTTTTTTTTTTTTTTTTTTGAGACAGGGTCTAGTTCTGTCTCCCAGGCTGCAGCGCAGTGACGCCATCTCGGCTCACTGCTAGCTCCGCCTCCCGGGTTCCCGCCATTCGGCAGGAGGATTTCTTGAGCCCAGGAGTTTGAGACCAGCCTGGCAACACAGTGAGACCTCATCTCTACCAGAAAAAAAAAAAAAAAGAATAGCCAGACATGGTGGCGTGTGCCTGCCGTCTCAGCTACTTGGAAGGAAGGCTGAGGCAAGAGGATCACTTGAGCCCAGGAGTTGGAGGTTGCACTGAGCTATAATCACACCATTGCAATCCAGCCTGGGCAACAGAACAAGACCCTGTCTCAAAATAATTAAATACGTAAATAAAGATCAAATTGGTGACCCTTGTTTCCAGATCCAGCACTTGGGAGCCCCTGGAAGTTCCCAGGGAATGATACCTCCATTCTGTTCATTTGCTGACAAAATCATCAGCACTCTGGGACACCCAGGGCAGGGAAGAAAGTCTGATTTCTTCCCCTTCTACTCTGGAGGCCTTGAAAGCTAGAGGGAGAGACAGGTAAATAGAATGGGTTGAATACACATGGAACCTTCTAGAGAAGTAGGCTTTCTCTAGAGGCAAGGTCCATGCATGTTGAGCTCCAGTAAGACACAGGTGGATACAAACTGAGCAAGCCAGGCACTGTTTCAGGTTGCTTCTGGAAGAGACATGAGCACAAAGTGACATTTCCCCTCACCTCTCTAGGCACAAATGAAAACACTGAAGAAGAAGAAGCCAGACCTAAAAAAAAGTGAAGCTTAATTGGGGTCCGGTTCTTAATCATTCTATGGTTCAGACTCCCCTTATCACCCAAACCCCCAAGGCACCCAGTACTCTCATGTACCAAACTGAAGAAAGACCAGGATTCCTGAGCTGCTGCTCCAACTCCTTTGTGACCTAGGATGATTCTAGATAAAAATGACTGGGAGCCCCTTTTCTGAGAGGCTCACTAAAGCCAGTATAAATGAATGTCATTTTTTATGCCCTTTTCTTTCTCCTTCTCTCCATCCAGCTATAATCAAACCTGAACATCTGAGGCACATTTATTTCTGCCTTCCATCCAACTAGTGCAAAACGTCATCTAATTTAAAACTTAATCAGGTGAAGCAATTAATACAATATGGGAATCCAGGATTTCCACCCTCTGCTTCATGTACAAATAAGAATAAAATATATTTACTAGAATAATTACTAGTTTCAAAGTGTCTAATAATTACACCCAGCTGGGAGCAAACCCTTGGAGAGAAGGGAAGGTGGAATTAACTCAGGGGACAGATCAAGAATGTGCTATTGATGACCCAGTTGTCTGGGAACCATGAGGCATCTACTCACTGCTGAGAACCCCTGGCTCAGGCAGGCCTGGAGGGAAGGCAAAACTCTGGCAAGGTCACTGAGCCTGGGTCTAGGGGGACTGAGATACTCAGGGTTCTCCAGAGAAACAGAACCAATAGGATAGACATACAGATATATAAAAAGAGATGTATGATGAGGGACCGATTCATGTGATTACAGAGGCGAGAAGTCCCTTGATCTGCTGTCTGCAAGCTGGACAACCAGGAAAGCTGGTGGTGTAGTTGCAGCCCGAGTCTGAGAGCCTAAGAGCCAGGGGGCTGATGGTGAAGTCCTGGTCCTATACCAGGAGTGCTGATGTCTGAAGGCAGGAAAGGAAGGATGTCCCAGCTCAAGCAGAGAGAGCAAATTCACTCTTCCCCTGCCTTTTTGTTGGATCTGGGACCTCAAGGATTGGAGGATGCCTGCCCACATGGGTGAGGGCGATCTTTTTCATTCAGTCTGTTAGTGGCGGCAAATCCATACGGTCTGCAGCAACCTCAGTTCTTGCCTCCTCAGAAGAAAGACTGACCGAGGGGCGTAAGGCAGAGTGAGAGACTGAGGCAAGTTTTAGAGCAGGAACAAAAGGATATAAAGAACACTTGGAAGAGGGCCAAGCAAGTGACTTGAGAGATTCAAGTGCCCGGTTTGACCTTTGGCTTGGGGTTTGGTATGTTGGTACACTTCTGTGGTCTGCGTCAGTTCTCCTGGGATTCTTCCCTTGGGGTGAGCTATCTCGCATGAGCGATGGCCTGCCAGCACTGGGAGGGGCCTCATGTGCAGTGTGTTTACTGAAGTTGTACACATGCTTGCTTGAGGCATTCTTCCCTTACCAGTTGAGTGTTCCTAGAGGAAGGTCACATAGCAGTTAAACTCCACCATTTTTCCTCTTGGTGTGCATGCTTAGCCTACTCGCCCACCTCCTGAGATCTTGTCAGGAAGTGGCTGATCACCAGCTTCAGGTGTTTTCTACTTATTGGGAGACTGCTTTTCCCTGGTGCCAGCCATGCCCAAAAGTTATTTTAGAGAGACAGTTAACAACTGTCTGGCCATCACCTGATGGTTGCCTAACATTCCTGGTTGTTGGGGGGAGACTCTCCTGCCCTGCTTATGTCTGCCTAAATACCTATTGTAACAAGTCCACCAATTGAAATGCTAACTTCTTCCAGAAATACCCTCACAGACACACCCAGAAATAATGTTTTACCAGCTATCTGGGCACCCTTTGGCCCAGTCAAGTTGATGCAGAATTAATCATCACAGTGACCGTCTGTCCTTAACAGGCTTGATCTGGCAGCACTGGACCAGTGGAAGGGGCAGTGGATTTTGCCTCTGGAGGTCTGTTTCATCATCTACAGCTCCTTGTGGGAGCCTTGGTTGTCTTGTTGGGTCAATGGGGTCCCGATCTCTAACTCATCATCATTGTTATAGGTACCACTTGGGGTAACACAAGGCCAAGAACACTATAAGCTGTAAAGCAAGGCATAGATGTTATATTTATTGAGACGAATTACATAGTAAACAATTGTAGAAAATAGTGGAATAAACTAATCAACAACTTATATCATGCCAGCAAAGCACAGGGAACACAAGGACATACGAGGACACACTTGGTGGTGTGTGTAGTAACACAGGAAAGAGGTCAAAGGAGAGGTTTGGGCAATGAGTGTTGTGTGAGTTCTGAGAAGAGCTCGATGAAGTAAGAGGAGAGTAAGGATTTGGAATTAGTGAGGACAAGGAGGGAAATCTTCTAGGCAGACAGAATCACACCATTCATTCATTCATTTTCAAAATTATTTGCCCAACACATGCCTATTGTGTGTTTGATCTGTATCAGGCATAGAAGCAAATGCCTCAAGGAAAGAATATGCAGTGCATACTTGAAGCCTCTGAATAGAGCTTGGAAAGGAAAGAAAAAGAGAGACAGAGAGAAAGGCAAAGGGGAGGAGAGGAGAGAGAAAGTGAGAGAGTGAGCTAAAGGCATGCTGTGGCCAGATTGCGGCATGCTCTGCATGAAAGCATGGCTTTATTCAGTAGGTGCAGAGTCACTGCCCTTGAAGACAGACCAAGGAGAATGAATAAGTCTTTCCCTCTGTTTTCAGTGGATGCTCACCTTATGAATGGAGCCATATTTAAGGAGCAGATTAGGAGGCATTGAACAGCAGACTGCCCAGATCAGAGATGCTTTTTAAGTTCTAGGAGCCTGTGAGCTTCCAGAGCTGTGCCAGTTCCAGGCATCTGAATTACAAAAGGACATGGCTGGCTCAAACCTGGTCCCTGCCTCTATGACCCGCAGTTCCTTTACATGCAGGGAAGTCCTATTCCTAGCTCCCTGAAGCCTTTGACTGTTCAAAGCCCCTTAGGATGCAGAAGATTCCTGGGAATAAAATGCATCCATCCTGGGAGAGGTCCATAGGGGAGCCACTTTGTTGTGAGGCAAAACACAAGGCCCTGATGGATGGCTGGGCCAGGGAGTGTCACCTGCAGCTAAGGAGCCAGTGATGTGGAGGAGGGGCTTTCATCACACTTGCTTCCAATGTGTTCTGAGTGCGCAAGGAAGATGATTACAAACCCAAGCCTTTATTATGTTTTCATCCTCCCCACATACTGCTGGGTAGAAGGTTGGTTGCATGAACTGTGTGATGGTAGAGATGGCCTGAGGCTGGCAGGGAATCTGGTGGCCTGGTTTCTATTGCTGCTCTCTTACTGGCTGGTCATAGGACTTTGAGAAGTCACTTGGTCTGTCTGAATCTCGGTTCACTCGCTTATAAACTGAATGTTTTGGGATTAGAGCTGTGGTCCTCACCTGGAAGGTGGGTGTTAGCAGATAGCTACATCAGCTTCCTAGGGGAAATGGAAAGTTAAGTATATGGACTGAATGATCATGTGCCCCCAAAAGTCACATGTTGAAATCCTACGCCCCAAGGTCATTGTATTAGTCCATTTGCATTGTTATAAAGAATACCTAGGTAATTTATAAAGCAAAGGGGCTTATTTAGCTCACAGTTCTGTAGGCTGTATAGAAAGCATAGTGCAGCATCTGCTGCTGGTGAGGCTTCAGGAAGCTTACAATCATAGTGGAAGGGGAAGAGGAGCTAATATATCACATGGCGAGAGAGAGAGGGAGAGCGAGAGCAAGAGGGAAGGGAAAGAGAGAGAAAGGAGGTGCCAGGCTCTTTTAAGCAACCAGATTTCACATAAACTCATAGAATGAGAACTCACTCATTACTGTGGGGAAAGCACCCAGCTGTTTACGAGGGATCCGCCCTCATGACCCAGACATCTCCTGTTAGGCCCACCTGCCAAATCGGAGATCACATTTCAACATGAGATTTGGACGGGGCAAAACATCTAAACCATATCAGTGACAGTATTAGGAGGTAAGGTCTTCGGGAGTTTACTAGGACAGGAGGGTGGAGCCCTCATGAGTGGGATTAGTGCCCTTATAAAAGGGACCTCAGAGAGCTCTTCCACCATGTGAAGACACAGCAGGAAGGTACCATCCATGAACCGGGAAGTGGTCCTCACCAGACACTGAATCTGCTGGCACTTTGATCTAGGGCTTCTCAGCCTCCAGTAAGAAATATCTGTTGTTGATAAGTTGCCAGTCTATGATATTTTGTTATAACAGCCTGAATAGACCAAGGTAGTAGGCGTATGTAAATTTAAAATCCCACTCTGGAATTTTGATGGTATTGGCTTCACCTCTCTGGCAACCCCCTACTCAACTCACTAACTCCTCCCACCTAAGGTTGAATGGGGATGTTGCTAGAAATGGCTGTTGGCTGGATGAAAGTTGGAAAGTTAGGGCCCTCAGGAGACTGGCCCCCTCACCCTGATGTCCTGAAATCCATCACTGACTTTTTAAATGCCAGGCCTGGTTCATACCTGATTGTTATCATCCCTAAGGCAAGTGAAGCAGAATTGATCTCCTGTCTCCATGGAAGAAGGAAATCAACAAAGGAGGGAAATTTTACAGGAAATAGCTAAATCTTTAGTCTGTGAGGATGCTGAAATACAAGCCATTAATTCCCAAATTTCAGCATGTCTCCATAAAGTTGTAAATGAAGCAATTACATGGATTGCCCAGACACTAAACTGAAAATTCCAGAAACTTCTACCATAAGAATGTTTTATGGAAATGAGAGTGAGAGGGGAAGTTTTAGACTCTGGCCTCCTCTCAGGCTTTGATTCCAGTTTTCCCTTTTCAAGCTCTCACCCATGTGTGGTCCATGCTTGCCCAGCCCCTCCCCTTCCTCCACCGGCCTCTTCCTTCTCCCAACGTGATCCATTATTGAAGCCACGCTTCTCTACCCTGTCCTTTTTGCTCTCACCTCCCTTCCTATCTGCTGTTCACCTGCCCTGCCTGGGGGACCAAAGGCTTTATCCCAGTGCCACTGTGCACTGCTGGGGAAAAGGACTCAAGCTAAAATGAAACAGTGCCTTATCAGATTTTGAGAGGCCTGCTCTTCCTGTTTCTAATCATTCCTCTAGCACCTTCCCATCCGTATTTCCAGACTTCATCACGTTTCTCAAACCTCCTTCTGCTACCTTCACAGAACAGCCTTGCCTCTTACTCCATAAAGAAAGCAGAGCCTGTTTGCAAGCAGCATCCTCCTTCCCTTGGCTCCCCAAAGAAACCAGCCCCCCACTTGGTCTCCTTTCCTGCCTCAGGGCATGGTGTCCTCCGGTCTAGCTCTGACCCCTCTTTCTCTTGCCACCTTGGGAGCCTGAGCTGTGGATTATCTCCTGCCCTGCCTTGGTATGGCCACCTCCTCCCCTTCCTGCCAGTTGGTAAGCAGGAGGGAGGGAGACAACAGAGGAAAATGGCCCCTCATGGTCCAGCCCCAAAAGAAAACAGCTGCAAGAGAAACCAAGTTTTCTTTCCTTCATATTCGTAGTGTAATTTTATTCATTGAGGCTGTATTTCTCTCTATTTTATCAAAGATTCCTTTTTTATTATCCTTGCTTGGCATGAGGATGGATTCAGTACATCCCCAGGGCATAGTAGAAAGAAAGAAAACTCTGCCCTATGCTAGAGAAATCTCTCCAGTATCATTGGAAAATAACCCTCTGATCCTGTTAGTCTGCCCATAGCATGCACTCTCCCCTTCCTTCCCTTCCTCTCCGCCTTCCAGATGGAAAAGTGACCACATCTGCTATCCTTTGCTCTTGCTCGGTCCACATCTGCTCCTCACCAGCCCATAGTACTCTGCCTTTGGACATTCCTCTAAAATGGTCCTACCCAAGGTTCTTGGTGCCCTCCAGTTGTTAAATCCAATGTAGTTTTGATTTTCTTTTTTTTTGCTTACTATTCCAGAGAACATCTCTTCCAGCTCCCAGGCCACAGCCATCCTCCTTTTCCTCTCATTTATGAGCTGTTCCTTCCTGGAATTCTCTGCACAATCTTCTTTATCCTCTACCTCTTAGAAGTGAATATTTCTTGTCTACCTTCATGACCCCAGCTACCATCTATTTCCTTACAGTTTTCCAAACCTCAGTGTATTACCTGGAACCTTCTTATAGAACGCAAGGCTCAAACTGCTCACTGCTTACTAAATCTTCAATCAAATGTCTATCAAGCACTTCAACCTCAATCAGTACCCTCTTCTTTAAGTATTTTCTGTCTTAGCCCATTTTGTATTGCTGTAACAGAATGCTTGAGGCCAGGTAATTTATTTTAAAGTGGTTTCTTTTTTTCTTTTCTTTTCTTTTTTTTTTTAAGATGGTCTCTGCCACCCAAGCTGGAGTGCTTAGCTCACTGCAACCTCTGCCTTCCAGGTTCAAGTGATTCTTGACTTCAGCCTCCCGAGTAGCTGGAATAGTATAGACATGTACTACCACATCCGGCTAATTTTTGTATTTTTAGTAAAGACAGGGTTTTGCCATGTTGGCCAGGCTGGTCTTGAACTCTTGACCTCGTGATTCACCTGCCTCAGCCTCCCAAATTGCTGGGATTACAGGTGTGAGCTACTGCACCCAGCCAATATTTTTATCTGTTAATGAATGCTTCCATCATACATGTGATTACAAAGGCAACTTCCTTTTATCTACACTGCACCTGCCTCCTTTGAGGCCTCATCACTGTCTCCTGCAACATATTCTATTCTAACTTGGGTCAATATAAAATCCAAATCTCTCTGCAGGGCCAAGAGGCTATTCATGATCTGAACAAGAAGAAAAGACAGGAGACCCCATGATACCCAAACCAGGCAGTCAACTTTTGGTCCAAGTTGTCTAGAAACAAAATCAAGAGTCTACAGAGTTTGGTTTTGTTTTTTTAAATAAAGGAGATAAGTAAGATATAGAAAATCCATAACAACCAGGGGACAAGACTGGGCCTTGGAAGAATGCAGGAATGAGTGGGGCACAGAGGTTTTTGGGGCAGACTCAGCATATGTGAGTATGTGGCTGTTTTCCTCCAAAGTATCTGCTCCAATGGCTCATATTCTCCCATTGAGGTTGCTCTTTTGAATTCAATGGCTTTTTCCTGGAAAGTCTTCTATTGCCTTGTATCTGTGTAACACAGCCCTCTTTCACTGTGTGTTTAATAAATACGTACTATTTGAATGAAATGATGGCTGTGTCTCCTGGAATTAGATGTTATAGTAACATAATTTTATCCAACAAGAAACTAACCTGGATGAATTTACACTAGAAATCAGAGAGCAGGCAAGCAGTGGGACGAAGATCATAGAACTTTTATGGGGGGATGCAGGGGTGGGTTGGGGTAAAGAGTAGGAAGATCCACAACAAGGTGGGATTCTAGGGAACAAGTTTGGTACTGGAGGCCTTGCCTGGTCTCATTTCACCCTACGCTCACCAGCACACCAAGGACAGCAAGACCACAGGGCATCTTCTCCCTGCTCCAGTCACACTGGCTTGATGGTTCCAGGAGCCTACCAGGCTGCTCGATCCTCTGGATCTTTGAACATGGCACCTCCAGCATTAGGAGAGCTCTTCAACCTTGCTAGGACTCTTGGTGACATCCTCTCCTCCTTCAAGACTCAGCCTAGAGAGCATCTCCTTGGGGAAGGCAATGGTCAGGGAAGGGTTTTCCATTGGTTTCTTTCAAAGAACGACTCATACTTTATAATTGTCATGTCAGCTGTGGTTCCCTACAAAACAAAGTGATGCAAGGATCTAGTGCCAGTGCTTTATTCAGGAGGTCTGACCTGCATGATGGGGAGAGAGGAGTCGTTGTGCACAGTGATGGGCTGCTCTGTTGGCTCCTGCTTCCTCATGTGCTTCGAGGGACACAGCTGGTCACCGGGCAGGAGCGTCCACACGCCACCTGGCACAGCTTGGACAGGATTCCCTGAGATGACTGCAGAGAACAATCACAGGGAAGCAGAGGGCATGTGTCTCCTCTCCTGCTCTGCTTCACTCCCTGGGTTTTGTTAGCTCACCCCTTGGAAGTCGGATGTCAAGACCAGAATGACGGCATTTTAACTAAAGTCTGGAAATGTCTACAGGAGACATCCACTCAGAGCACGTGGCTGGCTGGCAGCCAGAGGACAGACACCCACATTCTCAGGACAGGTGACAGGTCAGCCCCAGGAGCAGAACTGCATGGGCCTAAGAGGGTCCAGCTGGCCATGGCAGTGGCAGAGGTGAAGCAAGCTGCACAAGGCTCAGGAGATGCTGGTGCCAAGAGATGTGAAGATACTTCTGACACGGCAGTTCCTACATGGATCACACCTACTGGTCGCCCGTTGGACCAGAAGCATCTTGGAGGTAGAGACCTTGCCTGCCTGTTTTAATAATGTGTCCACAGCTTCCAGGTAATACACTGAGGTTTGGAAAATTTTAAGGAAATAGATGGTAGCTGGGGTCATGAAAGTAGACAAGAAATATTCACTTCTAAGGGGGCAGAAGGAGAAAGAAGATTGTACAGGTCCAGGAGAACATCTGGCACAAAGTAGGTGTTGAACACTTGCCTTGATGCACCAAGTTCATATGTGACAAATGCTGCTAAGCTTCCCCGAGTGTCACCAAGTAAATTGCTCATGCCTCGTGTTCCCCAAGTGATTTGGTTCACCTTTGTCTGCACGACAAGTTGGCAGCTAGGCTGTGAAGACCCAGAGGGTGCAGAGCATTTCTTTCCACCTTTGTTTTCTTAGTTCCTAGTTCAGCACCTGGCATATAGTAGATACTCCACAAATATTTGTTGGAATTCATGCAGGATTGAGGTATGGATGCAACCCGAAGAGGTGGGGGACTGGACTGCAATTATTTTTTTGCTGGGCTCACGTGACTTGCAAGACACTTTCCTGTGCTGCTTGTTAAGAAATGTGTACAACGTACAATGTCATACTCCTAGCTATTTGAAACCATTTATTAACTATAGTCATCTGACAGTGGTATAGGACACCAGAACTTATTTCTCCTATCTAGCTATAATTTTGTATGTTCCCCAAGCAAAGAAATGATAACTGTTTTAGGTGATGGATATGCTAATTATCCTGATCTACCGCTATACATTGAGTGTATCGAAACATCACTATGTACTCCATGAATATGTACAATTATTATTTGTCAGTTAAACCAAAACAGCATGGTACTGGTACAAAAACAGGCACACAGACCAATGGAACAGAATAGAGAGCCCAGAAATAAGGCCACACACCTACAACCATCTGATCTTTGACAAGGCTGACAAAGACAAGCAATGGAGAAAAGACTTCCTATTCAATAAATGGTGCTGGGATAACTGGCTAGCCATATGTGGAAGATTGGAGCTGGACCCTTCCTTATACCATATAAGAAAATCAACTCAAGATGGATTCAAGATTTAAATGTAAAATCCAAAACTATAAAAACCCTGAAAGACAACCTAGGCAATACCTTTCATGTGTGTCCGTGTGAAGAGACCACCAAAGAGGCTTTGTGTGAGCAACATGGCTGTTTACTTCACCTGGGTGCAGGCGGGCTGAGTCCGAAAAGAGAGTCAGCGAAGGGAGATGGGCTGGGGCTGTTTTATAGGATTTGGGAAGGTAAAGGGAAAAGGGGGGTTGTTCTCTGGCGGGCAGGCGTGGGGGTCACAAGGTACTCAGTGGGGGAGCTTTTGAGCCAGGATGAGCCAGGAGAAGGAATTTCACAAGACAATGTCTTCAGTTAAGGCAGGAACAGGCCATTTTCACTTCTTTTGTGGTGGAATGTCATCAGTTAAGGCAGGAACTGGCCATCTGGATGTGTACGTGCAGGTCACAGGGGATATGATGGCTTAGCTTGGGCTCAGAGGCCTGACAATACCATTCCGGAACATAGGAGTGGGCAAGGATTTCATGACAAAGACACAACAAAAGCAATCACAACAAAAGCGAAAATTGACAAGTGGGATCCAATTAGATTTAGGAGCTTCTGCACAGCAAAAGAAACTATCAAAGTAAACAGATAACCTACAGAATGGGAGAAAATATTGGGAAACTATGTATCTGACAAAGGTCTAATATCCAGCATCTATAAGGAACTTAAACAAATTTATAAGAGAAAAACAAACAACCCTATTAAAAAGTAGGCAAAATGCATGAACAGATACTTCTCAAAGGAAGACATACACGCAGCCCACAAGCATATAAAGGAAAGCTCAATATCACTGATCATTAGAGCAATGCAAATTGAAACCACAATGAGATACCTTAAACCATTCAGAATTGCTATTATTAAAAAGTCAAAAAACAACATATGCTGGTGAGGTTGAGGAGAAAATTGAACGCTTTTACACTGTTACTGGGAGGGAAGTTCATTCAGCTGTTGTGGAAGACAGTATGGCAATTCCTCAAAGACCTAAAGGCAGAAACACCATTCAACCCAGCAATTTCATTACTGGGTATATACCCAGAGGAATAAAAATCATTCTTCCGTAAAGACCCATGCACGTTTATGTTCATTGCAGCACTATTCATGAAAGCAAAGACATGCAATCTACCTAAGTGTCCATTAATGACAGATTGGATAAATAAAATGTGGTATATATACACCATGGAGTACTATGCAGCCATAAAAGAGAATGAGATCCTAACCTTTGCAGGAACACGGATGGAGCTGGAGGCCGTTATCCTTAGCAAACTAACAGAGGAACAGAAAACGAAATACCTCGTATTCTCCCTTACAAATGGGAGCTAAATGATGAGAACTTATGAACACAAAAAAGGAAACAGCAGACACTGGGGCCTACCTGAGGCTGGAGGGCGGGAGGGGGGAGAGGAGCAGAAAAGATAACTATTGGCTACTGGGCTTAATACCTGGGTGATGAAACAATCTGTACAACAAATCCCTGTGAAATGAGTTTACCTGTGTAACAAACCTTCACATGTGCCCCCAAACCTAAAATAAAAGTTAAAAAAATTATTCGTCAATTTAAAAAATTTTTAAATATTTTTTTAAAAACCAGGCTGGGCATGGTGGCTCATGCGTAATCCCAGCATTTTTGGAGGCCAAGGCAGGTGGATTGCATGAGCCCAGGAATTCGAGACCAGCCTAGGCAACACGGCAAAACCCCATTTGTACAAAAGGTACAAAAATTAGCCAGGTATGGTGAGGCCTGTGGTCCCAGCCACTAGGGAGGCTGAGGTGGGAAGATTGCTTGAGCCCAGGAGTTCAAGGCTGCAGTGAGCCATGATCATGCTACTCCACTCCAGCCTGGGCAACAAATTGTGACCCTGTCTCAAATAATAAATGAATAAATAAATAAAAAAGGAAAAAAAAAGAAAAAAGAAATATGTACAGCAAAACCAAGACACCCTCGACCCACAAACTACCAACTCATTTATTCATTTCTCACTTGTGACAAGGACTTTCTTTTCTGGCACTATTCTGGATTAGATAACCTGAAAACTTTCTTGTTTGTAGAATACCTAGAAGTAATGATCAACATGTAACAATTGATTTTTTGAAATGCACAGCTAAGCTTTTAAGAAAGTAAGGACACTCCTCAGCAGCAAAAACAAATAGTGATAGTTATCCCTCGTTACTCACAGATTCCATGTTGCTCATTTGCCTACTTGCTAAAATTGATTTGTAACCCCAAGATTAATTACTTGCAGTACTTTCACAGTCATTAGCAGCCATGCACAGAGTGGTGAAAAATCTCAGTGGCCGGATGAGAAGCTTCCAGCTGAGGTGGAATGAGGCAATAATCTGCCTTCTTGTTTCAGCTTTCAGGCTGCAAACAAGCGTTCTTGTGGTGGTGTATTTAATGCCACGCTTTCCACATTTCTGTGCTTTTTGTTTGTGACTTTGCTGTTGAAATGGCCTCCAAGGATAGTGTTGAAGTGCTGTCCAGCTTTCCTATGCACTGCAAGGCTGTGATGTGCCTTGTGGAGAAAATACACGGTAGAGAAGTTTCCTTTATGCATAAGGTGTAGTGCCATTGGCTCTGAATTCGGTGGTAAAAAATCAAAAATAACATCAAAAGTATATCGCTTAATGATGTGCATTGCTTAATGATGAAGATACGTTCTGAGAAATGTGCTTTTAGATGTGCTTTTGTTGTATGAACAGCACAGAGTGTACTTACACCAAGCTAGACAGTGCAGCCTACTACATACCTAGGCTATATGGTATAGCCTATCGCTCCCAGCCTCCAAATCTGTGTAGTGTGACTTTACTGAACACTGTAGGCAACTGTAACACCATGGTAAATATTTGTATATCTAAACATGGGAAAGGTACAGTAAAAATATGGCTATAAAAGATGAAAAATAGTACGCTGTCTAGGGCACTTACCATGAATGGAGCTTGTGGGACTGGAAGTTGCCCTGAATGAGTCCGTGAGTGAGTGGTGAGTGAATGGGAAGGCCCAGGACACTACCACACACTACTGTAGACTTTATAAACCCTTTATATTTAGGCTACACTAAATTTATATTTTAAAAACTTTTCTTTCTTCAATAATAAATTAACCTCAGCTTACTGTAAGTTTTTTACTTTGGAAACTTCCAAATTTTTAAACTTTTTGAATCTTTTGTAATAACACAACTGAAAACACAAACACACTGTACAGTTGTACAAAATCTTTTATATACTTATTCTATAAGATTATTTCTATTTAAAATTTTTAAAAACTTTAAAAAAATTATGTTAAAAACTGGGCCGGATGTGGTGGCTCATGCCTGTAATCTCAGCACTCTGGGAGGCCGAGACAGGTGAATCACCTGAGGTCAGAAGTTCGAGACAAGCCTGGCCAACATGGTGAAACCCCATCTCTACTAAAAATACAAAAATTAGCCAGGCATGGTGGCAGGCACCTGTAGTCCCAGCTACTTGGAAGGCTGAGGCATGAGAATCGCTTGAACCCAGGAAGTAGAGGTTGCAGTGAGCTGAGATCATGCCACTGTACTCCAGCCTGGGCAACAGGGCGAGACTGTGTCTCAAAAAAACAAAAACAAACAAACAAAAAAACTAAGACACAGACACACACATTAGCCTAGGCCCACACAAGGTGAAGATCATCAATATCCCTGCCTTCCACCTCCACATCTTGTCCCACTGGAAGTGCTTCAGGGGCAATAACATAATACTATCTCCTATGGTAACAAGGCCTCCTTTTGGAACATTTCCTGGAGGACCTGCCTGAGGCTTTTATTGGGATGTCACGCTTTTCAGACATATATGGCCATGGTGATTTGCTTGGTTTCTTGCTTTCTTTCTTAATCATAGATTTGCTTGTAAGGAGATAGTGCATCATGAACATTCCTGTCTACTAATGAAAACTTTCCAGTGTTGGGGTTAATGTTTTCAACTTTTTAAGGAGCTTGTTGGGATCTGCAAATGCTTCTGCTAAACCCTGCACTGAATTTTTGTGGGTGTTTTCCTTCTTGTTCTTCTACTGATTCCTTTTACTTGACTTTTCTTCAGATATGTGTTCCTGTTCCAGCTCCAACAACTCCTCAGTAGTCAATTGCTCAGGGTGATGTCATGGGGCAATAGGAATTTCTCAGCTCTATTATAATGTTATGGGACACTGTCATATATATGGTCCATCGTTGGCTGAAATGTCATTACATAGCTCATGACTGTGCAGTCAAACCAAAAAACACACACAGAACAAGGTTATGTATTGATCGGTTGGTGAAAATGTTGTCACTGAAGATTTGTAGAAATCTAACCCTATATTTCCACCAGGAGCATGTTTCTGTATTTCTTGATTCAATATCTGAGGTGGCTTTATGGAACATAACTACTGAAAATTATGAGAATCCACCTTATCTATTAATGGAAGTTCCAGTACAGAATAGAGAGAATGGGAGAAGATTAATATTTGAAGGAAAATGGCTAAGAACTTTCTAGAATGGATTTCAGACACAAATCTTCAGATTCATGAAGTGCAATGCATCCCAAGAAACATGAATAAAAGTAAACCCACATGTAGATTCATCAGTGAACCTACAGAATACTCAAAAGAAAGATCTTAAAAACAACCACAGAGAAAAAGATGGCATAAAAAGTAAATGCTATTAGATACACTGGAATTTCATTTCAAAATAAATGATATCCTAGAATTCTATGGCAATATAAACATTATTCAAGAATCAGAGGAAAACAAATGTATTTTCAAACAAGGATTAAAATAATTTTTGGCTAGCAGAACCACACTGAAAGAACTACTAAGTGTGTATTTCAGGAGTAAGGAGACTGAACCCAGAAGGAAAGAGTGGGCTGCAAGGAAGGAGGGTGAAGAAGGAAATTCATAAACACAGGAGTAAATCTACAGAGATGTTGACAGTTTAAAACAAACCTAGATAGGGTTTGAGCAATATTCTCAACCTTCATCCATTCAACCAATATTTATCAAGCATTCAAAATGTGCCAGCAATGGTTTTACATGCTGGTAATATAGTGGTGAATTTAAAAAAAAATGTTTTAAATGCCTGCTTTTATGAAGTTTATAAATAAATAAGTAAACTATTTAGTATGCCATATAATGACACATGCAGTGGAGAAAAATGAAGCAGGGGCGGGGGATAAGGAGGGTTGGAAGGGAGGACAGGAATAAATAAAGCTCTGCCCTTACAGTGTGAGTCTAGACAACTAAATGGATAATTGAACTTTCATAGCTGCAATGTAGGTACCCTGAGGTTTGGGTGTAGAGACTCTCTGTTCTCATCTCTGCCTTCACCATCTTGGAAGAAGGGCTGCCTTTTCTTCCCCTTTTCTTTCTAATCCAAAGTAACTTTACATACATAAAGTCATGCTGATATATATATATATAAAATAAATGAGAAATATATATATCATATATATATATCTGATAAATGAGAAAGGCATGATCCTATGAGTGACCATCCCTGACTTCTTCCAAGAGGGACAATCTGTGAAGGTCAGTGCAAGTGGCAAAGTCATGGGAAGAAAAAGAAATCACCATTGGGCAATTTGGGGTAGAGGGTTGCTTGCAGCCAATCTTGTAACTCACAGCTTTAGGGAAAATATGACAATCTAACTGAGCAGGGGTCCTTGGGACTGAGGAAATTGCCCTCACAGGGTTAATGAGAATTACAAGCCAGGCTTTAGGCAGAATTATAGTTAAGCATTGACCAGGGAGCACTTGTGCCCTTCAACCTCCTTCCCCGCAGCTGCTAACTAACCAAGAGCTATGTAGCATGCTGGCCACCTGCTCCCTGCCATTCCTATAGATAGAATTTCTGACGCTGGACCTTTATACTGGAGAATTGCTTAAGGTGTTCTTCAGATTCTGAATTCCAGCAGAACGATTGACGCCAATCGGTCTGAGGACCCCCACCAAAGAACTGACTCAGCACAGAAATGTGGTTTCATCATCAATGTCCCCCTTCACTTATCAACCAATCAACCACTTCCACATCCTACTCCTTCAACCCTCCAGACCCCTGAAAAAACCCATCCCCAAACCTGTCAGGGAGTTGGAACTGAGGTTTCCTCCCATCTCCTCATTCAGCTACCCTACAATTATTCAACTCTTTCTCTGCTGCAAACTTCGGTGTCTCAGTATATTGACTCACTGTGCATCAGGCAATGAACCTAGCACCATTACACTGAGAGAGTCTCAGTAATTCGGAGTGTTATCAGAATTGAGTGCTTGGAAGGGTTTGGGAAGAAATGAGTTTAAATCAAACTCTTTTGAGGGAAAGTAAGAAACAGATTTTACAGGCTGCAGCCAGCTGTAAATTTGTTTTAGTGCCAGAGTTTTTAAGAAGTGGATTTTACAATCTATAAATCAGTTTTATTTATGAACTTGAACTTGATCTATTCTTCTTTCTATTATTTTTATAAAATAGGCCAAGCTTCCCTGGTGTTCTTTGGACAGTAAAGCAGAACAATTGTGCAATATCAGAGGTCCCCAACTTGTATAACTTAGAGTTGTCTGATTTATAAAGAATATTTCTAAAGAATTTTCTACAATGGGGGCTCCCCTGCCCTGCCTTCCAGGCCACTACTGTGGTTGAGGAAGGTGAGGGTCACCCCTATGCTTGGCTGAGGACAGAGCCAGGGAGAGGGATGGCACCCTTGGGACTCACACCCACCCACCTCGCGGGTGAAGTGGACTTTCACCAACCACGCTGGCAGTTAACTTCCATCCAAACAGAGTCTCCATGGAAAAGTGAATTCTGAGTTACAAACAGCCGACTTTAATCCAATTTTGCAAGTCACATCCACATGGGAGGGATGCCAAAGAGAATGACAATGACATAGGACCAGAAAGAAGACACCCTGCTTTGTTCAAGGAAAGAAGCTCTGCTCTCAACCCCCAGAATACTCAGCCTCATCTGGGAGGCTGAACTTGGCTCTGGGTGGGGGATGGGAAGAAGCTCACAGCACTTGCCCTGAAAGTGACCAATACACTGATGGAGGACCAGAGCCAGCAACCGGTGCCCTAAGGAAACAATCTACCCAAACAAAAAGGGTGAGCCACATCCTGAACGACCCTAAGCAAGCAACCTGCTATTTCCCTTTTGGGAGGTCTGAAGCAGGAGGCTAGCTGCCTCTCTTGGTTTTGGGCAATGCTTCCCTCTGGGGGAGAAGGGTTTAAGGCCTAGTGAGTCAGAGTCAACCATGCTCAACCTGGCCCTGATTTCAGTCTCTGCTCTCTTTGTCCTCTGAAACCTTGTGAGAAAGTAGCAGACACCTGATACTGCAGGCTCTTCTCACTTGCCCTAAGAAGATGGGAACCTGTCTTACACAAAGGGCAGCCTGAAAGTGGTAAATTCTGCTGTCCCTTAAGCCAGCCACTGAGGATTCTGGTCACCAGAATCACCTAGGGAGCTTTAAAAAATACAAGGATGCGGATATTTGGCTCCACTGCAGACAAACTGAGTCAGGAATTCTGGGATGGGGTCCAGGAATGTGTACTTTGTGAACCTTCCCAGATGATTCGGATGATAAACCAGGTCAGGGGAAATCTGATATAAGGAGCCCGAAAAGAATTCTCACTGTGGTGATTCAATCATTAAAACCCTATCGGCACATGAAGAACTCTTCCAAATCAATAAGAAAAATATGAAGCACCCCACAGAAACATAGACAAAAGTGATTTCCTTAAAAGAAATGCAATGGTCAGTAGCTACATGGAAAGATGTTTATCCTCACTAATAAAGAATTGAAGCAACCAGATGTAATTGTTTTTGCACAACAATTAGCAAAGACTTAAACACTGGATAATTCTGAGCGTGGCAGGATAAGAGGAAACCCACACTCTTGTCTGTTGGTGGGAGTGTGAACTGATGCAATGTGTTTGGAGAGCAATTTAGCAATCTCTGTCAAAATTTTACATGAACGTAGCTTTGATGAAGCACTTCAAGGATTTTACTCTGCAGAGATACTTGAAGCAGCATGCAAAAGATACATGTACACACATGGTCCTTGCAGCATTGCTTGTGATAGCAAGGACTGGAAACAACTTAAATCGCCACTAATAGCAGACAATTACACATTATGGTACAACCACACAATGATTATTATTCATTTGTTAAGAAGAACAGGCTAGATTTACATCTACCTATCTCGGGGGGATGTTACTTTGTGGGAAAAAAAAAAAGCAGTTATGTAAGTTATGTATGGTTGGAATCCATTTTGGGTAAAACAAAACAAAGGTAGAAATAGGTATTTGTGCGTATATGTGGATAGAATATTGAGAAAGAAGTTCAGGAAACTATAAAATGAAGTTACTTCTGGAGAGTGGGAATAAAGGTTTAGGGGAGAAAACTATCTTTTATTTACTTTTCACTTGTCAACATTATGAATTATTTGAATTTTACCATGAGCATATATTACCTTTGTAAAACAAAATAAAGCAAATGCACTAAAATAAAGAAGTTAAAACATACATATACACAGCCTCTATGAGTACGGTGACTACCTCACTCTCTGGTCTCACTCCCTGGAGCAGATGCCCCTAGGGTGGGGGCCACACCTCCTGCGCCCACCTCTGAATTTCACTGCAGCCTCATGGGCCAGTCCATGTGAACTTAACTCCCTTCCAGCAACTAGCACTTGCCACAAGCCTGTGTCCTTTCACTGTCTACCCCAGGGCCTTTACTGATGTCCCTTGAGTCTGACACCTGAGAAGGACAGGAGATGCAGCCTCTCAGGAGCAATCACTAATGGTGATGAAGTGTAGGGATAAAGGCCTCAGCCCCACCCTTCAAAGCAGCGCTGCAAGGAGTCCTGCACCCTTCTCAGAGGACCTGGTGAGGTCCCGCCCTCCTTTTCCGAAGTGATGATCTTGACAGCACACTCTTCTCCGTCTCCTTGCCCCGCTCCCTCCCTCATGCTTCCAGGATCAGCACCCACATAAACTACTTCACTCAGATACCTACCTTGCAGGGAACCCAAACTCAGCCACCTCTTCAGAACCACAGGTTCCTGAAAGCCACCCTGCCCTAAGGCTCAGGTGAGGCCACATTGAGGGTAGGAGCCTCACTGATGGCAGCAGTAATGGTTAAGAGATTAGGGGAGATGTCAGGCGTTGTGCTGGGGGATTTGCATGGCTGCCTCGTGTCATCATCCTAGCAATCTGCAAAGTGGATCATTTGGACCCTCATTTTACACTTGAGAGAACAGAGATAGCTGGGGGTCCCTAAGTCCAGGTCTCAGGGAACTGGGTTGACAAATAGGCAGAGTCCTTGCTTCTGACAGGGCCAGCTCATGCTCCTTGGGCCCTTGATTATAGGCTATGGTGTTCACAGTCCTGCAGGCTTTCCAGAGCAGCAGAAATCAGGTGACTTGTACAGAGCCAGATGAACAAATCTAAACTGGGCAAAACAAGACCAAGATATCAAGATGCAAAGAGTCAAGCAGTTTGGGAATCAAGGGGTAAAGAGGTAGAAGAAGATACTTCCTTTTTTTTTTTTTTTTTTTTTTTTTTTTTTTGGCAGGGTCTTGCATTGTCACTTAGGCTGGAGTGCAGTGGAGCAACCATGGCTCACTGCAGCCTTGATCTCCAGGGATCAAGAGATCCTCCCACCTCATCCTCCTGGGTAGCTGAGACTAAAGGCCTGCATCAGCATACCTGGCTAATTAAAAAAATTCTTCTTTGTAGAGACAGGGTCTTACTATGTTGCCCAGACTGGTTTGCCTAGACTGGCCTCAAACACTTGGGCTCAACCGATCCACCTGCCTTGGCTTCCCAAATTGCTGAGATTACAGGTGTGAGCCACTGCACGTGGCTAGAAGGTATTTCTTATCAGGAAGCAAGAGGAGATACAGTTGACCAGCCTGGCCATGGAGACAGGCATTACATGGAATGTTTGTGTCCACCCAGGATTTCACGTGTTGAAATTCTAACCTCCAAGCGGATGGTGTTAGGAGGTGGGGCCTTTAGACAGTGATTGGGTCATGAGGGCAGGGTCCTTGTGAATGGGATTAGTGCCTTTAAAAGAAGAGAAACAGGGGACGGCTCTCCATCTCTCTTCCCCCTTTGGGAGGATACAATGAGAAGATGGCCATCAGGAAGCAGCCCTCATGAAGCACCAAATCTGCCGATGCCTTGATGTGGGATTTTCAGCCTCCAGAACCCAGAGGAATAAATTTCTGTTGTTTAAGCCGCCGAATCTATGGTAATTTGTTACAGCAGCCCAAATAGACCAAGACAAAGAAGAATGGAGAAGGGGATGGCTCAGGGAAGAGCTAGAACCCAGGACTGGGGTACTAACTTGAGGAGGGGTTGGGAGCCCACTAGAGCGGATGTGGGCTACGGACCCCTTCTCAAGTTAGTTAGTAACTTACAAATAAAAAAAAATCTTTAAAAAATTTTAAATTTAAATTTTAGATTCAAGAGGTGCATGCGCAGGTTTGTTACAAGGGTATGTTTCATAGTGCTGAGGTTTGGTGCAGCACTTCCATTGATCCCGTCACCCAGATAGTGAACAGGGCACCCATAGGAAGGTTTCCAGCCCTTGCCCCTCCTTCTCCCGCCTCCGTTTGGAGTCCCCAGTGTCTTTTGTTCCCGCCTTTACATCCATGTGTACCCAGGGGTTAGCTCCCACTCATTAAGTGAGAATATGTGATCATTCATTTTTCTGTTTCTGCATTAATTTGCTTAGGATAATGGCCTCCAGCTGTATCCATGTTGCTGCAGAGGACATGACTTCCTTCTTTTTGATGGCTACATAGTTTTCCATGTTGTATATGTACTGCTTATTGTTTATCCAATCCTCCGTTGATGACACCTAGGTTGCTTCCATGTCTTTGCCATTGTGTATCGTGCTGCAATAAACATACGAGTGTAGGTGTCTTTTTGGTAGAATGACTTATTTTCCTTTGGGTATATACCCAGTAATGGGATTGCTGGCTCAAATGGTAGGTCTATTTTTAGTTCTTTAAGAAATCTCCAAACTGCTTTCCACAGTGGCTGAACTAATTTTCATTCCCGCCAACAGTGTATAAGCATTGAACACCTTTTGTAATCAAATGTCATCTAAATGAGGATATGCTTCCTGCAAAGCCATTGTGTTTGCTATGCAAATCTGGCTTCCAGATGAATTCCCAGCTCTCCCCTTCCGGCCCTAATACCACTCAAAGATTCCCCTTCCCCATAGATAATCTGAAGCTCCCTTTAAAAGAACTGTGGGTTCAGTGGCAGGCATCAAACACTCCTGGTTGTGACTCCCCTGGGGATGGCCCCTCGGGCTGCAGGCATCACATACTCCACTTTTCTGCAGGTAGCCTCTGGGAGCCTAAGATGACTGCTGCAGCCAGACACAAGCTCCCGGCCTTGAACCACGGGGTCCTTCCAAAGTCTCATGGGTAAGAGGTCAGAGAAGGGTGCAAAGTGGGGAAGGCAATTTAGAAGAGCAAGGGAAGACAATTTTATGAGGAGACAGCTCCAGGAAGAGAATGATATTTGTTCTTTTACATGGACAAAGCCTCCATGTGTTCCTTGAGTAATTTTTATTCAACAGGGTGTTTTAAGTGGGTAGACAAACAAACATCTGAATTTAAGATTAAATACACTTCTCTCAGGGAAGGGCATCCTGGACAGGAAGACCATCTTCTTGGTGGATCTTGCCTCTGCAGCCTCCAGTGGATGGAGCGATGTGTGAGTGTGAGCACAGTGGGCCTGGCAAGGTGAGGTCCGGCAGCAGTTCAGTGCATCGAGGTTTGCGTGCTCCAGAAAGCCAAGCTCAGATCAGCCTGGATGGGGACCTACATTTCCGCCACAGTGCTTCTGGCAGCTGAAGGTTCTGATCTTCCCTTGTGGCGCAGATCCTGGGAGGGGAGGATCGTGGTCGCTACCATTCCTCGTTCCATCTAGGAATGAGGTCTCTGTGAAAGGTTTTTGAAGAGAGAGAGAGAGGAGGAATGGGATGGGCTGAATTGTGTACCACCCTCTTACCGACATGTTCAAGTCCTAATTCCCAGCACCTCTTAATGAGACCTTTATTTGGAAATAGGGTTGTTGCAGATTTGATTAGCTAAGATACTGTCATTCTGGAGTCCTTATAAAGGGAGACCTTATAAAAAGGGGGAATTTGGAGGCAGACACGCATGCAGGGGAACATCATGTGAAGATGAAGACAGAGATGAGGGTGCTGCTTCCATGAGCCACAGAATGCCAAAGATGGCCAGCAAACCATCACACGCTAGGGGAGAGGTGTGGAGCAGATGCCTTCTCACTGCCTTGAGAAGGAACCAACCCTGCCAGCACCTTGATCTCAGACTTCCAGCCTCCAGAACTGAGAGATGATAAGTTTATGTGGGTTAAGCCAGCGAGGCTGTGGTCCTTTGTTACACAGCAGTCCTAGCAAACTAATACAAGGGACATGGATTATGGTGGGGACACGTAGTGAGGAAAAAGACTCCTCCAGGAAGGCTGGGGCCTTCAGGCAGATGCCCAGGGACTGGCAACTGATGATAACTATGCCTAGTCCAACCAGGACAGCTCCGCTTCTCCACGGGAGTCGGGGGAGACATTTTTGCCTCCTCTCACTTCGATTCACCTGTCTGCATGTGTGTTCAAGATAGAAAAGAAAGCTAAGCTCCTTCAAGTCTCCTGCAGGCCATCTGCTCATACCAGGACGTAGGAAGTTAAGGCGATTTTCAGTGTTATCCCAGGCAGGATGGAGACAGGACACCAGCCACTGGAAGGAAATATGAACTCCTGTCATGCTTAGCCTTACTTTTGGCATAAGTCAGTATTTTCGATGGAATACTACTCAGCCATAAAAAGAAATGAATTAATGGCATTTGCAGCAACCTGGATGGGATTGGAGACCATGATTCTAGGTGAAGTAACTCAGGAATTGAAAACCAAACATTGGATGTTCTCACTCCTAAGTGGGAGCTGAATTATGAAGATACGAAAGCATGAAAATGATACAATGGACTTTGGGGACTCTGGGGGAAAGGGTGGGAAGGTGGGGAGGGATAAAAGACGACCCTTTGGGTACAGTGTTTACTGCTCAGGAGATGGGTACACCAGCATCTCACAAATCACCACTAAAGAACTTATTCATGTAACCAAACACCACCTGTTCCCCCAAAAACCTATGGAAATACAATTTTTTTAAGTTAGTATTTTATCTGCCTGCAGTCTGCCTTCTTGTAGGATTTGGGGTGAGTTTTGGTCCCCACACCATGTGAAAAACTCTTGTGATCATTATTTTTCCAAAGAATCTCCCTGAGCTAAATTTCACTGCCTCTGAGATTGTGGTTTCATGCTAGAGCCTGTGGGAAAATCCCAGAATGTTTAATAGGATTACCTACAGGACAAGTATCTACAATGGGCAGAAATGGTTCTAGTCTGAGAACACAGCACGTTGGAGCGCTCTTTACTGCTGCCAGGACTTTCCTAGGGGCTTTCCTCATGATGGGAGGGCAGAAGGAGGCCTGCAGGCAGCGCCGACAGGACACTCTGCTGCTATTGCTGAAGCCTGTGAGGTGGGCCTCATGTCCTCCTCCCTCCCTGGCCCGTGGCTGGGCCCTGTGCTGAGTGTTGGGGGCTGATGCCCTCCAGGTGGCCCGAGGTGAGCGTCCAGCCTGTCAATGTCTCCTCGGGCCACACAGAGGTACTCAGCGCTGCTCCACTCAGAGGCTCCCAGCTGAGCTTGCCCCCCTCACACCCCCAACCCCGCAGCCTGCAGAATGGCTTTTCTTTCCTTCCTTCCTCAGCTGGGAGTACTGGACAGTCATCTTCCTGGTCACCCGCCTCAAGACCTCCACACAGTCTGTCCCTCTTGCCTCACTCAAGCCTGCCAATTGCAGGCCACTGGCAAATTCTGTTGGGTCTCTTTGACAACTTCTCTCACATGTCTTCACTTCTTCCATTCCATTTGGCTCATCCGGAGTCCAGGTCTTCCCTGTATCTCTCTGACATTGCCCCATAGCCTCCAGACTTGGCTGCTGCCTGGTTCCTCTCCCACATCCCTGTGCCCTTGACCCAAGAGTCTCTTTCAGAAAGTACAGCTGCCCGGGCCGGGCACAGTGGCTCACACCTGTAATCCCAGCACTTTGGTAGGCTGAGGCGGGTGGATCACGAAGTCAAGACATACAGACCATCCTGGCCAACATGGTGAAACCCTGTCTCTACTAAAAATACAAAAAGATTAGCTGGGCATGGTGGTACACGCCTGTAGTCCCAGCTGCTTGGGAGTCTGAGGCAGGAGAATCACTTGAACCTGGGAGGCAGAGGTTGCAGTGAGCCAAGATTGCGCCACTGTACTTCAGCCTGGTGACAGAGAGAGACTCCATCTCAAAAAAAAAAAAAAAAAAAAAAAAAAGACAGTACAGCTGCCCAGCTCTGACCCTTTCAACGGCTCTGCAGTCGAGGATTCGGAATTGAGCAGTGATCCCCGCATCTCCAGCACCTTCCGCACCACCCCTGTCGGAAAGTTTGGCAAGAGGAAGGAAAGAAACTCCTAGCCCTTTGCACAATACTGCCCTGAGATTATGCTGTAGTAGAAACATACGTTATCTTGTCCCTGTTCCACTCAGAGACACCTAAGGGAGAATGGGAGAGCTAGCTGGGGGAGGAGCTCAGGGAAGTGAGGGGCGCAGTGCCTGGTGGGTGTTGATGCAAAGGCGAGTCGGGGTCTGCAGTGAAAGTCCAGCAAGAGGGTCCCAGGGTCCCCACCTGAAAGCAGTGGTGGCGAGCTGGAAAGTGACTGTGGTTAAGAATTCCCATCTTCACCTCTGGTTTGCTGTGGGAAACAGGGCAAAGCCGAATCATGGGAAAGAGAGACGGGGGGCCAGCTCTGGGGCTTGGGTGGGGAGCTTAGGCCCTCCGACGGCTCTGAGCTGGGACCACTCTTGCGTTCACTCCAGCTACACCGAGACAAGCACCCACCCACACTGAGGCCAGCAGGGGCCCCCCTGAGTTGTTGCCTGCATTCTTACCTCCTTTTCTCTTCAGGGCTCTTCTCCCATCTCGAAGCACTAGAAGTTCAGCCATCAGTTAAAGACAGCTCATATGTTGCCTCCTCCAGGAAGCTTTCTCTGATTTCTTAAGTCAGGATTAACCTTTCCTTCCCTATGCTCCCTGTATACTTTGTTCTATCAAACCATTTATGATGTTCATGTATTTTTATATTGTGTGAACCCCTAGAACTTGGCATAGTGCTTGACGATACGCATTAAATAGATGCTTACTGATTGAATAAAAGGAAGAGCGAGCACACAGATACAGTGAAAACTGCTCTTCCGCCTCTCGTCTATAAACATCTTGGAAATAAGAAATATGCTTGGTTACCCTGAACGCTTCCACAGTAGCCAGCATGGTCTTCCACCTCGTCACTTCTCAATAAATGTTGGCTAAATTGTTAATTTCATGGAGTTTGTGATTATAATAATCACATATCATTATTTTTACACCTTCTACAAAAAAAGAATGAGGGGAAATCTATTGTCGTGAGCTTTCTGCAGTTATGTTTTCTGCATATTTCAGATGGTGTGAATTGTTTAGAGCTCTGTCACCTGCACTGGGGCACACGAGATGGCCCCGCTGCCTGGCTGCTTTCCTGGAGGATGCCAAACGCACAATAACATGAGCAGCTTGGATTCCACGCAGCACCTACCTTTTGGTTATTTTTGCAACTCTTTGCACGTACCTGATCTTATTTAGTCCTTCCAATGTCCGGGAGGCAGAGGTGGTGCAGATCCTGTTGGCTTTGTTTCCTAGGTGAGGAGAGAGGCACCACTGGGCTATAAGATAAAGGGCCTGCCCTGGGCCGGAGATGCAATTGGCTGAAGATCTGGCTGTGTCCAGAGCCCAGGGTGCCTCTTGTCCAGTCCAGAGCACAGCAAGGCCCCACCATACCTCACAGTCTTCGGGGCCAGGCTTCCTGGGGTTGCTTTCTTCTCTCCCTTGGAATAGCAGCTCATTCTAGCCCCTTGAGATCCCAAGACAGGAAACCAGGATGAGTTTGGTTCCCAGCCAAGGCAATCTTGCTGACCTCTCAATGCAGCAGGAAAGCCCAAATACAGCCTGTGCCACTGGGGCTTTGTTGCGAAATGTCCACCAACCCCACCCTTGTCTGAAACAGTACCATCTCCCACTTCCCTACTCTTACTCTCAAAGTTTGAGTTTGTTTCTTTTCAAACTCACAGCTTTTGCAAACCACTGGAGGGAAGAATTAATCTGGAATGTTAAGCCTCTCAGTGTATTTGGCTCTGCCTGCAACCTGGAGGAGTAGAATCGAGCTCCAATCTCCTTGTTCCTGGGGAGATTGTAGCTCAGCTTAAGACTCATGGCTGCAGCCTGGTGCCACCTCCTCACAGACTGGGCATGACCTGTGTCCTTGCTCCTCCTGCTGCACCTGCAGGGGGGCCTGGGAGGTGGGACCCCAATCATGATTGCAGTTACGGACAGCCTGCTATGTGCCAGGTGTTGTGGGGAGTGCTGGAAACATGTCTCGTCTCAGAAAACTCACCATCAGCCTTGTGTATGTTTCTCACTGAGGAAACAGAGGTTCAAATTGTTAAGTGGTTTACCCAAGGCACATAGAAGCCCATTCTGTCTGACTCCAGGCCTGAGCACTTAATGGGACCAGGTTTTAGGGCCAGAGTGCAGAGGCTCCCTTGGAGGGATCAGAGCCAGAGGGCTTGCCTTCTAGAAACTTCTCTTCTCTCTGCAGATGTATTGCAAGACCTGAGATCAGACACTCAATCTCCAATTTACCTTTATTTTCTTGCCTTGGACATAGGGCGCTGATGCTAGCACTCTACCAGCTCTCCTGAATCCCAGCACCTTCGTTTCCTAACAGCCAGCATCATGGTCTCAAGATGTAAAGCAATGGTCTGACCCCTGCACTCGAGCCTGGGAAACTGTGGTGTAGAAGTTGGCAGCAGGACCCTCGGACTGGTCTGCCCAAGGTCTAAATGCTGGCTCTACCTTTGACGTTCTGCATGCTCTAACTGCTCCGTGCCTCAGTTTCCTCATCTGAGAAATGGGGGTGTGAGGGGCTGAATCATGTCCCTCCAAAATTCACGTGTTGAAGCCCCAACATACAGCACCTCAGAATGTGACCATATTTGGAGACAAGATCTTTAAAAAGGTAACCAAGTTAAAATGAGATCATTGGAGTGGGCCCTAGTCCAGTATGTCTGGTGTCCTTGTAAGAAGATGGGGACACACAAAGAGCCCCCAGGGATGCTCACACATTCAGAGGGAAGACCACGTGAGGACACAGGGAGAAGACAGCCATCTGCGAGCCAAGGAGAGAGACCTCAGGAGAAACCAACCCTGCCAACACCTTGATCTCAGACTTCCAGCCTCTGGAACTGTGAAAAAATAAATGTCTGTTGTTTAAGCCACCCAATCTGTGGCACTTTGTTATGGCAGCTGGAGCTGGCTGACACAGGGAGTGTTTAGAATCATAACTATTTCAGTACCCATTCTGGTTATGTTCATTTTGGAACCAGACTGCCTAGGATCAAATGCCTGCTCATGCATTTACTTATTCTAAGCTTTAGTTGTCCAGTCTGTGCAATGGGGATACTCATTGTGCCTGCCTTGCAGGGTTGCTAGGACGTTTAGAGAGCTCATGTACATTAAGTGCTGAAGATGGCAGAGTTAGCAAATGTCTGAGCGGGAATTTGATCCCAGGTAATCCAATGCCAAAATGAATGCAACCAGAATGACTCTATGGCAAGTCAATATTGTTTAATCATAAACTGTATCTCCCTAGTCAATAAAAAATGAACATTGTAAAAATGTAGAAATAAAAGTAAAATTGCTCTCTGGATGTCACTTGTAGCCAGAACATGACTTTTCTTTGGCCAACGAGCCCTGGAGGAGCAGGAGGGCTTTGTGGCTGTCTGCCCACTCTTTCAGCTATTTGCGTCTCATAAGGAGCTCCCCAGACTCAATCCTCCGCTGCCTTCCAGCTAATCCACAACACAGAACTTCCAGAGAAAATAACTGCAAAACCCCGGTGTAAACAGGAATGATTTACTAATGTTAGGCAAACATTGGCAATGGGACCCAAAGTAGCACTGGACATTGCTCATGTGTCAAATGGAAGCAGTTTCTCTCATGGCTCCTAAGGCATATGAGTTTCTGGAAGTTGTGTTACTCTTTTTTTTTGTTTTTTGACATTCTCACTCTGTTGCTCTGGCTGGAGTGTAGCGACGCAATCATAGCCCATTTTAACTTTGAACTTCTGGGCTCAAGCGATCCTTTCCACCTCAGCTTCCCAAATAGCTGAGATTATAGGTGTATGCCATAATGCCAGTTAAGTTTTAAGTTTTTATGGAGACAGGGTCTTGCTATGTTCCTCAGGTTGGTCTTGAACTTCTGGCCTCAAGCTATCGTCCCACTTTGGCCTCCCAAAGCGCTGGGATTACAGGTGTGAGCCACCATGCCCAACCTGTGAACTCTTGTAGACTATTCTGATGGAGCATTACAGAGGTACCTGATATAGCAGTGGTGGGCATGTTGGGTGAGTCTCATTACCTGTGCAGGTGCTGGGGACAGGTAAGCCCACTTTAATTAGAAACAAGCCTGGCCCTGGGTTGAATCTCTATCTAGCTCCTCTGAAGCCAGGGTAAGCCTTTACTCAGATGCTACATCCCACTCTGTTTGGGAGCTGAGAAGTGACCACATCAGCAAAGTCCAAGCCTTTCCTTAGCCCTACCAAGTGGGTTTCACAAAGGAGGCATTCCCGTCCAGTGAGGGAGGTTGAGCCTCCCCTCTGACTGGCATGCGGTTCCCCCAGGTTTGGGCCTTGGCTACATCTGGGAACATTGCTGCTACATACTGGAAGCATCACAAAAGCCACACTCAACAAGCATCCGCCGACTCTACCAGTTCCTTAGTTAGATTTAAAAAGGAGACCTGTGCTTCCTGTTTCCCGGCTGAGAAAGGCCGCTGTGTCTTCTTATATTCTTATTATTCCCAAAGGGCTGAGTTCTCCTCACTTTCTCCCACCTCCCCTCCGAATAAATAATTCACCACGGGGCTGAAATAAAATATGTAGTCAAAAGAGAGGGAAAGCAAGGGAGCAGAAATCCTGCAGCCTTGATTACAGTGTTAGCTTCTGCGAAGGCTGTAGTAAAGTCTGCATGGGGTGGGTGTCCCAGCAGGGGCCGGTCACTAGGAGCCCGCACTCCACGGCTCTTCCACTGTCACTCCATTTCCTCATTTTCAGCAATGACATTTCAGCCTCTGAGTGGAGGGCAGGTATTTGTCGAGGCAGCTCAGCAAATACATTTGACCTTTAGAAGAAAAAAAATAAGAGATCAGGAGACAGAAGAGAGGGGAAGAAATTCTCAGTGCATTATTTCCTTTTCTCCCTTTGGCAGAACAAGTGCTGAGAAAGAATTGCCAAGAGGCAGCGTCTGCTCCAAGTGTAGCGATTTAGTACGAATTCATGATTTCCCTTTTCCTTATTTCCCTTTTGATTAATCATGGAAAGGTCTGAATGTTTTCGTTAAAGAATTATGGCCCAGAACTTTCCTTGGCAGTCAGTTGCAACTGCTTCTAAAAAGGTTCTTGTAGTTCTTTGAGGCTGCTTCTCAGAGCGTTGGAAAATGGTGCATAACCAAAGTGACTCAGGCCTCTTTCAGGGAAACTGGGTAATATTAATTCTCCTATTTCACAGCTGCAAAACAAGAGATGAACTGAGGTTAAAGGCCCAATTCAAATAGCTCTAGCTCACGTATCATGGGGTCTGGAGATTTAAGGGGAGTACATAGGGAAGGAACAGAAAACAGACCCTGGGTTGAGGTGGCATCTCCTAAAAATTGTTATCGCACCTATTAAAGCCTTTATTTCTCACCTTATTGGTGAGCAAGCAACAGGGCAGAGATGTGCTGCTTCCCTGGTGACCACTCTTGCCACTGATGGGGCCATGGAAGAGCCACTAGACCCGGCTGGGCACAGTGGCTCGGTCCTTTAATCCCAGCGTTTTGGGAGGCTGAGGCAGGAGGATCACTTGAGCCCAGGAGTTCAGGGCTGCAGTAAGCTATGATTGCACCATTGTCCTCCAGCCTAGGTGAGAGAGTGAAACTCTGTCTCAAAAAGGAACCACTAGATCTAAAGCCAGGAGACCCTGCTCAGCCTGGCCTGGCTTCCAAGGCCTAACCTCTACTTCTCAGAGTGACTCGGGCGAGTAACTGCCCCTTCTCTCTGGACCCTCACAGTAGGGAGGGCTCAAAAGTTCTGCATGATAGTCGCTGGTCATAGCAATGTGGCACCACCTCCCCTCAGCCCTCCATAATTCACTTATGTGTTCTTGGACAGATCATGATAGCAAATACTTTTATGGCATTTACTCTGTGTCAGGCTGTACACTAAACCTTTGCATATATGCATGAATTTTTTTTTAACCTTACAACAAGTAGTGGTATTAACATTCCCATTTGCAGATGAGGACACTGAGGCACAAAGACATTGTGAAACTAACAGATTAAGAGTTTAATGCACAAAGAGATCACCTTCCCAAACTCACACTACAGTGCGGAGCTGAGCGAGGCAGCCTGGCTCCAGCGTCAGTACCTTGCCCTGATAGCTCTGTCCTCTAGCTTGATAGCTCTGTCTCCCATCTGCCCTCCTGGGAGGCTACTGGGGTCAATAGTCTTTTGTGCATCTTTTCCAAAAATGTTGCATGGCATTGATGCATATAAATAGACACAAATACAAATTGTAGCATTTATACTCTTCCTTTTTGCACCAAATACAATGACATAATTTATTTTTTTGAAACAGAGTCTCACTCCATCACCTGGGCTGGAGTGCAGTGTTGCAATCTTGGCTTACTGCAACCTGCGCCTTCCAAGTTCATGCAATTCTCCCGCCTCAGCCTCCCAAGTAGCTGGATTACAGGCACCCACACAACCATGCCCGGCTAGTTTTTGTGCGTGTGTGTGTGTGTTTTTTTAGTAGAGATGGGGTTTTGCCATGTCGGCCAGGCTGGTCTTGAACTCCTGACCTCAAGTGATCCACCTGCCTTGGCCTCCCAAAGTGCTGGGATTACAGACGTGAGCCACCACATCCAGCCAATAACATGATCCTTTTATATAAACTCATATAGAGCTGCCACATTCTTTTTAACAACTGCATAGTATATTCCGTCATATAAACCATAATGTATAAACTCACTTCCTGATGCATATTTAGGTTATTTTCATTATTTTACTATTACAATGAATACAGCAATGACTATTCTTGTAGATATATCATTTTGCATTAAGTGCAGTTTGTACAAAATGACTGCCCCAAAGATATTCACGTTCTAATCCCTGGAACTTTTGAGTATGTTATGTTATATGACAAAAAGGATTATGTAGATGGAATCAAGGTTATAGACCTTAAGAAACCAAGGTTACCCAGGATTATCTGGATGAACAGCCTCATAACATGAGCCTTTGTTATGGTCTAAATATACGCATGGCCCCTAAATCGTATGTTGAAACCTACTCCCCAAGGTGATGGTATTAAGAGGCGGAGCCTTTGGGATATGATGATGTCATGAGGGTAGAGCACTCTTGGGGTTAGTGCCCTCGTAAAAGAGGCCTGAGACGGCTGGGCGCAGTGGCTCATGCCTGTAATCCCAGCACTGAGAGGCCGAGGCGGGTGGATCACCAGGTCAGGAGATCAAGACCATTCTGACCAACATGGTGAAACCCCCTCTCTAGTAAAAATACAAAAAATTAGCTGGGCTTGGTGGCATGTGCCTGTAGTCCCAGCTGGCTGAGGCAGGAGAATCGCTTGAACCCAGGAGGTGGAGGTTGCAGTGAGCCGAGATCAGGCCACTGCACTCCAGCCTGGGTGACAGAGCGAGACTCTGTCTCAAAAAAAAAAAAAAAAAGGCCTGAGGGAACTTGGTTGCCCCTCCCACCACGTGAGGACACACAGAAGATACCATTTCTGAGGAACAGGCCCTGGCCAGTCACTGAATCTGCTGGTAAGGAAGACCTTGGACTGCCCAGCCTCCAGAACTGTGAGCAATAAATTTCTGTTGTTTACAAATTATTTTACCAAGTCTCAGGTATTTTGTTATATCAGCCCAGACAGACTAAGACAGCCCTTCAAAGCACAGAGCTTTCTCCAGCTGGAGGCAGGAGGGATGAGGGAATGCCAGAGAGATTTGAATCATGAGAAAGACAACTCACCATGGCTGGCTTTGAAAAAGAAGGATCCTTGAGCCAGGGAGTGTGGGAAGCCTCCAGATACTGAGAAACAGTCCTGGCTGGCAGCAGCAAGGGATCAGGGACCTCAGTGCTATGATTGCTTGGAACCAAGTTTTATCAATAACCTGAATGAGTCTGCAACTGGATTCCTCACAGGGCCTCTAGATAAGAGCCCTGGTCAGCCAACACCTTGACTTTAGCCTTGTGGGATCCAAAGCAGAGAAACCAGCTGAGCCATTTGGCTTTCTGAGCCATAGAAATGTGAGATAATAACTTTGTGGTTTTTTAAACACGAAATTTGTGGCAATCTGTTACAGAAGCAATAGAAAACTAGAGCACTGCTGATTACTTACAAGTAGAATAGCTGAGTCAAAGAGTACATGCATGGACAGATACTGGCAAATAGCTCCCCTTGAACTGAGACCTGCCTGAAGATACCTACCTTCTTGGAGCCTCACTTTCTATACCAGAAAAATGGGAATAACAACAACCTTGAGGCTATTGTAAGGATGAGAAAAACACACACACACATTCATATGTGTATACACACGCATGTATGCATACTTACATGTATGAGCATTGTATTAGTTCATTTTGCATTGCTGTAAAGGAATACCTGGGGCTGAGTTATTTATAAAGAAAGAGGTTTGTTTGGCTCACAGTTCTGCAGGCTGTACAAGCATGGTACCAGCATCTGCTCAGCTTCATGGAGGACTCAGAAGCTTTTACTCATAGGTATAAGTAGTGGTCCTTCTACCATGTGCACACACACGTATATTAGAGAGAACACTTCCACACTTTGCTTCTCGTAGGTGTGTTAGGTTGTTTTTGCATTTCTGTAAAGAAATACCTGAGGCTGGATGATTTATAAAGAAAAAAGGTTTATTTGGCTCATGTTTCTGCAAGCTGTACAAACATGGCACCACCATCAGCTTGGCTTCTGCTGAGGACCCCAGGAAGCTTATAATCATGGTAGAAGGTGAAGCAGGAGCAGGCACATCACATAGTGAGAGCAGGAACAAGAGAGCAAGGAGGAGGGCCCAGCCTTTTTAAAACAATCAGACACTGGGTGAACTAAATGAGCAAGAACTCACTTATCACCAAGAGGATGGTGCTAAGCCATGCATGAGGGAGCCACCTCCGTGATCCAAACACCTCCCACCTCCAACACTGGGAGTCACTTTTCAACACGAGATTTGGAGGGGACAAATATCCAAACCATATCAGTAGGTCTTCCATAAGTGACAGTTACTATATAGTTTCAGAATTAATTAAAATGCATCTGAACATTGTAGCCAACAGTTTACAGATGGAAAACTAGGCTCAAGATCGTCAGGTGATATGCCCAGGGTCAGGCCACAAAAGATGTGAACCATTATCCCCTCAACCCCAGCAGGGTGTGTTTTCACCCTGCTGACCTTGTCTCCAGATGCCTGGGGGCAGTGACAGGCCCCCTTTCAGGGAACAGGTGTCCTTTCCAGGTTGAGCACTGTTCCACACAGCCCATTAACATAGTGTCGCAGCCTGTCCCCGGGGGGATTACAATGTTCTCCCTGCCGCAGAATTCTAAAGGTGCCTTGTATTTTCTTGTGGTGCAAGGATTTGAGTGATGAAATACAGACTTCAACAAGAAATGTTGCCAAGACAACAAGGTTGCAGAACCAAGACTTTTTCTTTCTTGGAAAGAAATAGAAAGGATTATTATAATTTACCTCTCTTTGGGGGCAGGCCAGACTCTGGATAACATGAAACTTGAGTTGAACCATTTTTAGATTATTTATCTAAGTGGCTTCCAAATTTCATTTCACATGCTGCTGTATCAGAGTCACCTGGGGTGCTTGTTGGGAACCCAAAGTTGGGGTCCTCCTTTGACTTGCTAACTCTGAGTGTCTGGGATGAGGCCTGAGAAGCTGATTTGGAACAAGCTGCTCTGTGTGATTCTATTTGTATCTGGGTGTGGACACTAATGTTCCAGCATCTTGGATGGAAGACAGTGGTCCAGGCTGCATGAGCTGAGTGATAGGAAGCCCCTAGTAGAAAGCTCTTTCCTTGGAGCCACGGTCCTTCTCACTTGAATTGCCACCAGTTCAGAATGCCGTCTCGAAAAATAAAACTCAATGCTTTCATCAACGTGACAGCTTTGCAAGCACTTGAAGGCAAGTATATCCACAGTGTCAGACAGGCTCCCCAAACTCCTCCTGGGAGGCCAGAGCCTTCTTCTACCTCCCAGCTGCCCTTATGGCAGTGCCTACCTAGGCTTCCTCTCTTTGCTTCCACATCTTTTTGTTCATTTCATTCAGGGGCCTGTTTTCTTCCATGTCAGGGCTCTACAGGGCTCTGCTCACGCCAGGCTGATGTGTTCAGGAGTGCTAGTGGATTGATGTATCACTGCACTTCTACATATGTTGTTAACTGGCGTCTTCTGGTAGTAAATCCAATGGTTGCTGTGATGGTGAGAATGTCATCTGCTGGTGGCATGCAACTGGAGGGGACACTGGGCTGTGGAAGAGCCGGAGAGGGCACCTGCAGTTCTAGTACAGTGTCCATATCTACAATAAATTCTGAATTTGAGATGATGAAAAAAGATGCCTGCATATCACTGTCTCATCATTCTAATATTCCAGTTGTCTTGGTTCTACCCCTGTTCTAACCACTTCTCTGTTGAAAACTTGGGTTTCCTGCCCCAGTATCCATTCCTGTTCATTTTATCTATAGGATCAGACATTGCTTGTTCTTAGTTATCGATGTCTCTCTCCACTTTGTGGTCACATGGTGGGAACATTCCATGGAGATGTGGGTTATGAATTAAGTTCTCCAAGAGCTTCCGTCATCTCTTAGACCCATAATTCAGGTAATAGGTGAAGTGTGGCTGTGGGGCACAACCAGGCAAAGCATTTTTTACACACATATAACTAAGGAAACACAGGCTGGAATACCATCTAATCAATTAAGCTTTTTCCTTCCCTCTTTTAAAACATGTATGAATGTATATGTGTATGTATATAGACATACATACATATATAGACATACACATATACATACACATTATATATGAATATAGACATATATTCAAACAACAATGAATATAGACATATATTCATATATAATGAATTTATACAAAGTCATATATAATGACTTTCAGAGACACCAAGAGATCAAAGAACAATGAATCCATTTGAGAGAAGAGAGAACTGAAACTCAGAAAAGGAAAATGAAAGTCAGGCACAGTGATGTACACCTATAATCCCACCTACTTGGGGGGCTGGAGTGGGAGGATCACTTGAGCACTGGAGTTCAAGACCAATTTGGGTAACACAGCAAAACCTCACCTCAAAAAAAAAGTACAATTATATCTCTATAACTACAGAGTTAATTGTAGTAATTGAGTTAGAACTAGAATGTGTAGAATTTTTTACTGTATTTTATTACTTTATCGTATTTCTCATTAGGTAATATACATGGTTCAAACATCAGAATGATATAACAAAGATATATACTGAGAAGCCTGCGTATGCCTCTGTCCCGTCTACCTCCTTCCTCCCCATCTGCCCCACCCTCAGCTTTGTTTCTTGGGTATCCTTCTAGCCTGTCTTCTTGCAGATATAAGCAAATATAAATGCATATCATTATTTTGCACCCTTCCCAAAGGTAGCACGTTGAATACACTATTCTCTGTTTTTTCACTAATGAAATCCTAGAAAGCTTATTCTTTATTATTATCTTTTTTACAACTGCATTATATGTAGTCCCTTCTGTGAATGTACCATAGTTGTTTTTTGTTTGCTCTAACAGCTTGATTAAGATATAATTCACTTACCATAAACTTCATGCACTTAAAGTATATAATTCAGAGGGTTTTTTTTTTCAGTATATTCAGAGATGCACAACCATCACACAGGACCATAGCTTTCTAACCAGTTACCTCGAAGAAACAACTTGGGTTACTTCTCGTCTGTTACTGTTACCCCCACCCCTGAGAGCTGCAGCAAACATTCTGGGTTTTGCCTCTTTGTACACATACTTGGTCCTTCTCTAGGACGGAGATAAAAGAGCAGAAGGATTGAATGTCACACACACTGAAAATGTTGATAGTTACTTTGTTTTCCAGGTAGATGGTGCTAATTTATTTTATCACAAGCCACAATGGAGATGACCCTTCTCCCCAGTTCCCCTCTGGGGCAGGATATATTTTTTTTAAATTTTATACTTATGTGAAGAATAAAAAGTGACATATCATTGTTGTTTCAATTTAGGGTCAATTATACTTCTACTCTAAAAATACACTTTCCACAGTGGTGGCCGGCCTCCAAGATGGCTCATGAGGCCCCAGGCCTCCCTGGTGTGTTCTTCTCCCACAGTGAATCGGAGCTGGCCTGTGTACCCGACAGAGCTCAGCAGGAGTGATGTGTATGACTTCCAGGGCCAGGCACCACCTGTGCTTGGACCAATTGCTTTAGGGGGAGCCAGCTGCTTTATCATGAAGACTCTCTGTCCAGAGACCCATGTACCAAAAAGCAACTAGGCAACACCAGCTCACCAGCTGTGTGAGTGAGCCACTTCCAAAGTGGATTCTTCAACTCTGTCAAGCATTCCGATGACTGTGGCCCCAGCTGACATCGCCTGCAATCTCAGGAGAAGCCCTACACCCAAAGTACCTGGCTGAGCTACTCCTGAATCGCAGCTTTCAGAAACAGTGAGAGGTAAAAAAAATGGTGATTGTTGTTTTAAGCCACTAAGTTTTGGGGTGATTTGTTATGCAGTGATAGATAATTACTATATTCATCAATGTGCAAAGCATAACTGCTAACTCTTAAATGGTTTAATAGAGAGCGAGCTATAAATACACACACCTTGACACAAAAGGAATTACAAAAGTAATGGTGCTTTCTATCTCAGCTTTCACTGTTATTGGTAATTGTTTGCTGTGGTTCTCATTTTCCCTCTTCTGCTTTAAGGAGACGTTACTGGCATGCCTGCGTACAGTCTGTGAGTGACAGACAGCCGCATATCACTCCTGAGTCCCAAGCTGTTTGTTGCAGCTGGATTCAACTTTTCAGCTTTCCCAGGAGGTTTGGGATCAAGACTATTAACCTCCTGACTTCCCCTGATCTGACAGCAGGCGTCAGTTTGCCTCCTTGGATGTAAGTGCCGGGGGCCAAGAGGAGCTTCCATCCTTATTCTAAGGGCTGTATTCAGTGGAACATGTATTTTGGGTACAAGCATTTCTGGACTTGCGTTCTGGCAGTGGCACAAATTGCTTGTGACTGTTTCCTTTCCAAATGGGACAAACATTTCGTTTTGTTTTGTTCCTACCTGACCCACTTCTCCGGCCCAAGACCTGCCCTTTCTGGTCTCCTCTGCATTGAGCTGTCCTTGGTGTTCTATGCGAATGTGTCTAGCTTAACAAAAAATGGATAGAGAACAGAAAATCAGTAGTTGGCATTGGGAGGCTCTTTTGTCAAGAAAGCTATTAATTTACAGCCACATTCTGCAGTTAAAAAAAAATCTCAGTTATAGAAGAGCCTCATGCAAAAGAGGAATGTGCCCACAGTTTTCTCAGGAGCCCGTGGCAGCCTGCTTGTCAATATCCACACACTCCCTTCACTCAAGCAACCTTGATATAGAGGTTACTTTGAACAGAGCATTAAAGATTGATGAGCGATGAACCACGCTACCAGGGTGCTGGCAGTTTTCAAGCCTGACTTTTCTAGAGACTTGTCAGAGTAGCCAGATATTTCTATTTTAAAAATCTAAAAACTCATTTCAAAGGCCAAGTTTTAAAATAGGGCCATATGAATGTTTTCCTCATGGCCGCAATCCCTCTTGCATGCAGAGACAACATTTTCCTGCGGTGTGAGAGCTGTGCTGTCTGATAGGGTAGCCACCAGCCACGTGTGTCGATTCCAATCTAAATTCAGGAGCTGGAACACCTGCAAACCCAGCACTTTGGGAGGCCTAGGCAGGGGATCGCTTGAGGGCAGGAGTTCAAGGCCAGCCTGGAGAACATAATGCAACCTTGTCTCTACAAAAAATAAACAAAATTAGCTGGGCGTGGTAGCATATAACCGTAGTCCCAGCTACTTGGGAGGCTGAGGTGAGAGGATTACTTGAGTTGGGAATGCTGAGGCTGCAGTGAGTTGAGACGGCACCACTGCACTCCAGCCTAAGCAACAGAGAGAGACTCTGTCTCAAAATAAATAAACAAACAAAAAAAATAACTAGGTGCCATAGCTCAGCCTGTAGTCCCAGCTACTCTCAGGTACTTGGAAGCCTGAGGCAGGAGGACTGTGCAAGGCTAAGAGTTTGAGACAAGCCTGGGCAACATAGCTGGTCTTTAAAAAAATTTTTTTTTTTTTAAATCAGCCAGGTGTGATGGTATAGTCTCAGCTACTTGGGATGCTGAGGTGGGAGGATTGTTTGAGCCCAGGAATTTGAGGCTACAATGAACTTTGATCATGTCACTGCATTCCAGCCTGGTTGACAAAGAGGGACTCTGTCTCTTAAAAACCAAAAATGTAAATTCAAAATCATTAATATTAAACTAACTTAAAAATCCAGTGTCTCAATAACACTAGCCATATTTCCAGTGCTCATTTGCCACATGTGGCTGGTGGCTGCTATGCTCAAGAATGCACCTTGTAGAACGGTTCTATCACTGTGGAAAGTTCCATCAGACAGCTCAGCGTTGGGGTTTTGCTTGGTGCTCTGTGTGGAAACAAAACAGAAAAAACATTTCCCCTTCCCATCAAAGGGCCGAGAGTGCTAGAGTCAGACTTCTCTGTCTCAGATTTAACTAATATTTCCTAAATAGGGAAATAGGAAGTCTCTCTCCTAAGTAGGGAGACTCAATGGTTAAAAATAATCAAATTTTGGCCAGGCGCAGTGGCTCACACTGGTAATCCCAGCACTTTGGGAGGCCGAGGTGGGCAGATCACAAGGTCAGGAGTTTGAGACCAGCCTGACCAACATAGTGAAACCCCGTGTCTACTAAAAATACAAAAATTAGCCGGGCATGGAGGTGTGCGCCTGTAACCCCAGCTACTCAGGAGGCTGAGGCAGGAGAATTGCTTGAATCCAGGAAGCGGAGGTTGCAGTGAGCCGAGATTGCACCACTGCACTCCAGCCTAGGTGACAGAGTGAGACTCCATCTCAAAAAAAAAAAATCAAATTTTTAATGTTGACTATATACAATGGCCAAGAAGTAACTCTTCTGTGTTAAAATCAAACAACAACAAAAAAGAACAATAGAACATAGGTTCTTGTAGTAGATGTGTGTGATATTTTGATGAATGGAAGAGAGTGAGTGCTTTCCTACCTTATAGAAGCAATGCTTAGAAGAACTCCTTAATGCTTGCAAATGCTATTGGAGGTGGAAAGCATTGTTTTCTAAGTGCCAAGCGCTATTTCACTATTTATTAATATCAGTATCAATAATAGGAAAGCAAATGCTGTCTTTCTGATGGGCTTTCTTCTGATAAGTGAGTTCCAAAATGTATTTTGTGCATCCAGCTCTTCTAGACTTTAAAAGAGGGAAATAAAACAAACTCAAAAAAGAACATATGGAAAAACTGCAAGGGAAATAGACACTGTCTATTTATAAGGTAAGAGGAGCTCCGTGTTTTATGCATGTCTCGCACAATCTCAAGTTACAATCAAGAATACCCCTCTTCAGGGAGCACTGGGCACCTTAGGAATGTGTACTGACTTCTTGCTGAACAGGAACAAACCTATTTGAGTGGCATGCCGTGAGCCAACATGAATCGATACCAATCAGCCATAAAAGTAATAGCTAACATTTATTGAGAGCTACATCCCAGGCTCTGGGTAAAGTGCTTCATACGTATTATCTCATGTAATCACACAATTATCCAGAAGCTAGGTACTATGTTTTTATCCCCATTATACAGATATGCCAACTGAGGTAACAGAGGGTTTCCTGAGGGCACTGGGAAGGTAGGAGGAGGCCAGGGAACCAAAGTTTCGTGGGTGGAGTTTCGCAGTCTATGGAGGAATTGGGCTCTAATGGGTTCTAGAGGAAGCCCTGAGCAGCCGTGTTTTGCTGTCCAAAAGGGAGGGCAATCTGCTTGAGACCCCAACATTCATTGCCAGCTGAGGCTGGGATTAGTGATCCAGGCAAGAGAGAGAAAAGAATTCACAAATGAAAAAAAACAAAAACAAAAACAAATCATGGTTTTCTGGAGCCTCAGGGATTTCAACCAGCTAAAAAAGAGGACATTTGGAAAACTAGAATAGCTGTAGAGGGGTCCCCAGTGTCTTCAATAGCAGACGTTAATGCTTGGAGGAAATGAAAAACGGTACTGAGAGAGTCAGAAGGTTAAATAACTCTTAATTACCATACCCCTAGGTGCTCACAAGGTGGAACATTTATGAAACTCTTTTCCGTGGCAGAATCCTTAAACAGGCTCATCCTCCACATCTTCACGATGCTCAAGGGATGAAAAACTTCACATTCAAATTTCGCAAAGCAAGAAGCTCCCCCCCACGTTGGTGGATATTTGGGAAGGAAGGTTCTAGATGAGCTCAGAACCAGGAGTTTCCCTAGAGGAGCACTATATATAATCTGTTCTGAGAGGCTTTTGGACAATGCATGCAGAGGATTAGTCTGGAAGGATTTGTGCTGCTAGCAGGTGCTCTATGATTCCCACAGAAGAAAGGGCTAGTCAGATCCTAAACAGAGCTGCCTTGTCTTACGGAGGAAGACTTCTAGGCAGAGGGGATTCACAGAAAGATTTCTGGGACCCACCCCTTGGGAGCCCCGGGAGTGGGCCCAGGTTCTGCGCCAGCGGGAATGTCCTAGAGCCCATTGTCTTCCTTTTTTCTTCTCTAGAGCTGAAAGAACTCCCAACAAAGCACAAGGGGGTATTTAGGAGGCAAAGCCCTGCCGGCTCTGGTTTCT
Organism: Homo sapiens; assembly: GCF_000001405.40. Classification (NCBI taxonomy): domain Eukaryota; kingdom Metazoa; phylum Chordata; class Mammalia; order Primates; family Hominidae; genus Homo; species Homo sapiens. Next base: position 229,987,553 of record NC_000001.11, on the reverse strand, counting down.
GGCTGCCCCACCTTTATCATGACACTGTGAGTTGCCATCCACCTTGGGGTCCCAAACTCACTAGTTGGGGCCAGCGACGTTATTGGTGGATTCCTTAAAGAGTGGAAGTTGAAAAAGATGGGAGCGAGGGGAGAGTTATTCTTATTTTTGGTGCCTATTAGAAGAGGTAACAGCCCATGTGATGACATTTAAGCTTGTTGATATTTTCCCCAAACCTTAATTATTTTCATGTAAATGACAGGAAGATTTTAGATATTAATAGGCCAGTGAACAAGTTACTTTTATGTCCCCCAGCTCCTTTCTTTCTGCCCTGTTAATTCAGCCTTGGATGTTCTCATCTTAGGGCAGGGGAGGAGCGTAAGTGCTGGGAACAGCTTGGGCTACCTGGTGCATGGTACGACTGGGTGTGACATCTGGGGTGTGTGATGGAGACACCAGACAGATGTTACAGGGTGTGGGCACAACATCTTAGCTGCTAGAACTTGCAAATTCCACCAGATAAGCAAACTGTATAGCAGGAGCCAAGATTTCAAAGACTTTTCTATTACTTTTTTTTTTATTTTTCAGACGTGGTTTCTATCTTCAAGGAGCTTTCAGTCCTGGGGCAGAGGAAACACACTCTTGTATCTGTGTCCTGTGTGTCTTCATCACCACAACATAAGTTCCAAGAGGGCAGGACTGATCTGGCTTGTTCCCTGCAGTATTGCTAGCATTCAGAGCAGTGGCAAGCAGTAACAGATGTTCAGCTTGATTTGTTGAATGAATCTAAAGGAAAAGACAGGGAGACACAAGAAAGATACACAGTATTGTGGAATTTAGCAGGAGGGTGAGCTTAACTACTACTGGAAGGATAAAGACATTATTTACAAAGAAGGTGCAGTTAGTGTTCCAATTGTTTTATCAAGTTAACTGAATTTACTACTCGTTAGTTAACAATGCACATAAAGCCTGCAGCACTTCATCAATTCTACTAAGTGTGGAGTTTCCAATTGTCCATGGAACCAGTCCTGAACTCACCCCAGAATTCTTTTTATTAAAGCATAATCTCTCTGAAGGCACAATTTAGAATATGCATGTACATTTTCTTTAATACTCAATTCCAAGTACTTTTCATTTTATGCTTGCAGATTGTAGATTACATGAAGTTGTAGAGAGGTATATGTTTACTAGAATCAAATGTTACTTGTGTCAAATCTAAGGGTGACTTCGAACATGAGGCCAGACACTTGGTTTTGCGTAGAAGATCATAGGAAGTTGTGCTGCAACAGTCATTTCATTCAGAAGATCTGTAGGTGAGTATCTCTTGGCGGGATGGAGTTCTAATGAATGCTGGGGAGTCTCATTAGAGAACTGAAGGCCAAACTGAGCCATCTTTGCACAGTTGCTTGAAGGTGGTAAGACGGACAAAGCAAATTCTCAGCTATGTGATTCAGTAGATACTGTCCAGTTTTGAATCATGACAACCAAGCATGCCACAATATTTATTTACCAAACATTGTGTGCAAGGCCCATGCTGTTTATGAAAGAATATTTACATAATGAATTGTGTGACACAGCCACTGCCTGTATGTAGCTTGTGCATCCAAAGGAACACATCATATGGATAGAGCATATGAAGCAGTAAGTGGTAAATGCCGAAGATACACTGGTTCCCACCCACCGCCCCGTCTCTGCCTTCCCCAGCTCTCTGATTCCTGACTGCAGTTTCAGTCCCACTCCAGGCCTGGAGTCAATTCTGACAGGCAGGAAGTGTATAAATAACCCTAGCCCTGTTCACTTCCAATGCATGTGGGATGTTGTGCAAAGCCTTAGAAGCGTCTGACATAGAATGCACGTTCAACAAGGGACGTTTGCATGAGTCCATGGTATGTTCAGGTGTCCAAGAGTGAATGAGAGGCAGAAAGCAGTACAAATCACAGTGATGTCGCACAGGAGGTAGGATGATAGGCACATACAAGGATACATGGAAGTCATGTTTTAACTGCTTAGGTAGGTCAGAGAAAGCCTCCCTGGAGAAAAAAGGTCTGGCCCCAGTCTCGAAAGAGTTTGCCAGGTGGGCGTGGGAGGCATTCCAGACCCAGCGGATGGCAGCAGGTGTGCATTAGGAGGCTATGAGTAGGGTTGAGCTTGAACATGGTGGAGGGGGAGGGGGCGAATTGGGGCTGAAATCCAGGTCAGGCTTCACGTGCCAAGTTGTATGTGCTGCCTGAAGGGACACATGGAGGTATCCTTCACTGTAGGCACTATGTGCACACCGTGCCTGGGCAAGGAGCAGGAGCAGGAGTGGGTAGCACAGCCTGGCTGTGAGTGACATGGTGGTGAATGAATGAGTGAATGGCTACTCTCGGTCCAGTGATGACCCACGGACTCTGCCTTCTCCCTACCTAATACTTCTGTTCCTGCCAAGCACAGGTGCTGTGGGGGTGGGGTGGCTAGTGCTATGAAGAGAGGTGCATTTTCTGGGAAGGACTGAAGACTGAGCTTCAGACCCTTCTCTGGCTTTGAGAGGGGTCACAGCAGTGTGTTCATATGATCACGTGTTTTTGTACAATTGCAAACACAGATATTTCCGTGTTCTTTTTCTTAGGCTCTCAAAATTGCACCACAAACACTGGGATCTGCCCTTGGCTATGAGCAGGGGTTGGATCTTCATCAACCCCAGGCGTCCGAGTTGCCTGAATTCACAGTGCTCCTGCCCCTCCTGCTGATCAGCTTGAGGACTGAGCTTCTGCCCTGGTCCTGCACAAAGTCCAGTGGGTTGTGTTGATCATCGTTGCTCCAGGCCCCTGTAAAGACTAGACATGTGCTCTGAATTGCTGGCCTTACTCGAGGTAGACCTGGGGGAGCAGGGAAGGGTTCTGAAGAATGGGCCAGTGGGGAGAGAAGACAGCAAGTGAAGGCAGGAGGCACAGAGCAAGCATGAGTCCTGGGGGTGGTGATGGGCTCCTCTGGCTGGGCTAAGGGGCTGTGCAGGAGGGGAGTGGAGAATGAGCCCCGCATTTGTTCTTCATATCTCAGGCTACACAAGAGAGCAAAGCATCCTAAGGAGCAACCACAAACAGAAGAAACAGAAACTGAATCCACAGGGACAAGTAGCACTCCCTGTGCAGCTTACACAGCAGCTTGGTGACTTGCTTTCAGCCACCGATGGGATGATGAGAGGCTGTTAGGGAAATGCCGCTATGTGGGGCTGACAGCGGGAAGGATCAGCCCTAGGGGAAGAGGTCTTGGTGGTGGCAGCTCTAGCCTGCTGAGGTGGAGCCACTACTGCCACAGGCTTTTTGGATGGAGTTCCAAGGTGGGATGTGTGTGTGTGTGTGTGTGCATGTTTGTGCCATCATATAGCTATCAGAGAGCAGAAAACCCTCCTGCAGGAGAAGTATTATAAATAGAAACCAGTAGAAGAAGGAAATAGCTTGTCTAGACTTCAAAGCTGGCTTTTGTGGCTTGGTATTTATCAGTTCTGGTACTAATAATTCTTCTGCCTAGAAAATACAGTCATCCTTTGGTATCTGTGGGGGATCAGTTCCAGGACCCCACAATCCCCTTGGATACCAAAACCCATGGAAGCTCAAGTCCCTGATATAAAATGGTGTAGTATTTGCATATACCATATGCACATACACCCATATACTTTAAATCATCTCTAGATTACTTATAATACCTAATACAATGTAGATGCTACGTAAATAGTTGTTATATTGTATTGTTTAGGGAATAATTAGAAGGGAAAAAGTCTGTACACTTTCAGTACAGATGGAAATATCCATTTTTTCGATGTATCTTCCAAGGTTGGTTGAATCCGTTGACACAAAACCTATGGATACAGGAGGCCCAACTGTACCCTTGCTTTTCTGTTGTCAACCCTTTGATTTTTTTTATTTTTAACCAAAGGGAGCTTCCACTTTTGTTGCCCTTGGGGTTCATTGCAAAGCCTGTCATCCAGCGCTCAAGGGGCAGCCAGTCATTCCTGGTGTTCACGACTGTAGAAAATATCTCTTACCCTCATCACTTATCTGGTATATGTGTTCCTACTGCTTCCAGAATAAATGTTTTCAGCATAGCATTCAAAGTCCTTTTGCCATAAACATTCTCTATGCTGTAAGTGCCTTGACAGAGCTGAACTAATGACCTTCCCTGGCCTGCCCTATGTTTTCTGTCCTCCCAACTTTGCTCAAGCTCTTCCTCTGCTTGGAAGAGTCCATCCCCATCATTAGGCTTATAAATTCCACTATTCCTCCAAAAGCCATTGCATTCATGCAAATGTTCGGAGTCTTTCAGAATGTTCTCCTGATTCCCTGCCGTCTTTCTTAGACAACCAGGAGTGGAATAGGGTGGTGGGGTCATGGGAACAACAAAGTTCTAATTACAGTCCCAGGTTTCCCACCTCCTTCCCTTTGGGAATCCTCAGGGGACTCAGGGGATTTATTTGACCGTGGTTTTGGTCTTGGAGATCAAACAGATAAGGCCTAGGGCTCAACAACATGCTGTCAGTTAATCACTAGAGGACAGTTTTCTTGGTGAATAAATCAAAACCGGAGAGAGCATTTGGCTTTAAGGCAGGTTGTATGATAAAGTTAGTGTGATGGATTGACTTGTTGGTCTCCAGGCCAAAGGCACATTGAGAACTGTGTCTTTAGTTGAGAGATTTTAGAATCCCCAGGTAGGCTGATGTCATTTGGATTTTGTCCTCTCTAAATCTCATGTTGAAATTTGATTGCCAGTGTTGGAGGTGGGGAGGTGTTTCGGTCATGGGGACAGATCCCTCATGAATGGCTTGTTGCCCTCCCCGTGGTAATGAGTGAGCTCTCACTCTATTAGTTCACATGTTAAAAAGAGCCCGGCACCTCCTCCACTGTCTCTTGACCCCTCTCTCACTATGTGACACGCCTGCTCCCCCTTCACTTTCTGCCATGTTTGGAAGCTCCCTGAGGCCCTTACCAGAAGCGGACGCTGGTGCCATGCTTCTTGTAAAACCTGCAGAACCGTGACCCAAATAAACCTCTTTACTTTATACCAGTCTCAGGTATTCCAGGAACACAAAATGGACTAACACATAGGCCCTCCAAAGGAAGGACAGAGACATATTTTGGGGTTGGAAAAGGATCTCTGTTTTAGAGAGTGGTGACTGACTGGCAGAGTGGCAGATTTGTGAATTACTCTGCAAAGTGGAAAAGTATCCAACATCTCTTCCATATGTACCCATTGGGTGCCTGTGTGGCAGGCACTGTGATGCATGCCCAGATCCCTCATTCCATGAAAGGTCTGTGGATGGGTCTGGGGCTGGGGGTGGGTCATCAACAGATACCTGCAGCTGTCAGCCTCTTCAGCATCCCCTCAGCTGCAGAAAACCACCTCTCCCAAAATCATGCTCCTTCCCAGGGCAGCCACATATGGTGATGGATGGAGTTTGGGTGTATGAAGGCCTGGCCATTTTGCCCCAATGTGGGACGAATCCAAAGAGTCATTTTAGTTCCAGAACTCCCTGTAGGATTGGTTGAGTTTGTCATTGGACTTGAATCACTGCCTGATTTTTTCCTCTGCCCCATGCTGTTTCCTTCCCCTCTCATCCATCATCTCATCGCATGATACCCAGGGCACTTCTTTAAAAACATCCCACATGCGAAACTCCCACTCAGCAACTGCTGCCTGAGGAATCCAACCTTCAGCAACCTGCTTTGTGAATAGCACTGTGGGTGATTACTAAGGGTTTTTAATCCAGATTATAAATGTTTGAGAACTATTTAGAACTTTCCATACAATCAGATATAGTGTATTCCCAGATCTCTATAAATATTTAGTAAACCAGAGAATGGATAATAGCATGAAACTGCAAACTGGGTTTGAAGGCAATGATCTTGAATCCAGCGGTCCCCACTGATACCCTCTCCATTTCATGCATCATACGCATGCATCCATACACGTCAGTCAAAGATGACCTTCCCAGAGAAAGGAATGTACCTCTTCGGTTAACATATATATGGAATCCTGCAATCAGATTCTGATGTCAAAACCCGAAGTGCACAGCTAGACAGTGGCTGAGCCCTAATTATAAATGGAATGTCCTCTGCCCAGTCCAGACCCTTCTCTACCACTTATCTGAATTCATCTTGGCAGACCCAAATGTGGTTGTATTTGGCAAATGTTGGTGTACATGGTGCAGGGAGTGCAGAAGGCTGAGCTGTCCATCTAGACCTTGCAGTGTTCAAATGGCCCACAAGCTATCAAAGTGAGAAGAAGAGAAGGGGCTGAAGCTATGGAGTTCCTCACTATTTCTTGCAACTTGGAACCCTGAATGCAGGTATAGTTCATAAAAACCCGTGTAAACATCCAACATGCAAATTGAAACATTTTATGTGAAATAAATTAGGCTAAGAGCCAGAACACATGAGTTTTGGTCTTAGCTCTGCCTCTAGGAAATTTCCATAGAGTCAGATAGAGTGTATTCCCAGATCTCTATAAATATTTAGTACACCAGAGAATGGATAATAGAATGAAACTGCAAACTGGGTTTGACGGCAATGATCCTGAATCCAGTACTGCCCACTGATACCCTCTCTGTTTCATGCATCATACACGTGCATCCATATGCGTCAGTCGAAGATGACCTTCCCAGAGAAAGGAACGTGGCTCTTCAGTTAGCACATATATGGAATCCTGCAATCAGATTCTGATGTCAAAACCCGAAATGCACAGCTAGACTGTGGCTGAGCCCTAATTAGAAATGGAATGTCCTCTGCCCAGTCCAGACCCTTCTCCACCACTTATCTGAATTCATCTTGGCAGATCCAAATGTATGTAATCTGGGACAAACAATTCCTACGTTCATAAAAATATCAGTTTTTCATAGATAAAATGAAGATGGTGAATTAGATCCTTTTTTAGGTCTTTGTGACTAAGTCATTCTAGGATGGGGTCTCTCTTTTAAGGAAATTTGTTTGAAGTGGTCATTCCATCTTGTTAAAAAAATTCATTGACATTATTTTTTAGAGCAGTTTAGTTTTAGGTTTACATGTGTCTACTACTTCAGTATCCTACAGAGTAGTTTCACTGCCATAAAAATCCACTGTGCTTCATGCACTCATCCCTCCCTCGCTTTAACCCTGGGAAACCACTGCTCTTCTTACTGTCTCCACAGTTTTGCCTTTTCCAGAATGTCATATAGTTGGAATTTCACAGTATGTAGCTTTTTCAAGTTGGCTTCTCTCACTTAGCAATATGCATTTAAGCCCCCTCCACGTTATTTTGAGGCATAATAGCTGAACTATTTTTATTGCTGAATAAGTCTATTGTCTGGATGTACCACAGTCTGTTTACTCATTGCTGAATAATTCTATTGTCTGGATGTACCACAGTCTGTTTACTCATTCACCTTCTAAAGGACATCTTGGTTGCTTCTGAGGTTTGGCAATTATGACTAAAGCTGCTATAAACATCTGTGTGCAGGTTTTTGTGTGGACATAAGTTTTCAACTCCTTGGGTAAATACCAAGGAGTGCGATTGCTGGACTGTATAAAGATTATGTTTAGTTTTGTAAGAAACTGTCTTCCAAAGTGGCTGTACCATTTTACATTCCCATTCCCACCAGCAATGTTGTTCCAGGTCCTGACTGGTGTTTGGTGTTGTCAGTGTTTTGGTCTTTAACCATTCTAATAGGTGTGTAGTGGTATCTCATTGTTGTTTTAATTTGCAATTCTCTGACAACATATCATGAGTATTTTTTCATATGCTTATTTGCCCAGGACATGCATACATCTTCTTCAGTGAGGTGTGTGTTCAGATTTTTTGCCCATTTAAAAAATTGGGTTGTTTGTTTTCTTATTGATGAGTTTTAAGAATTTTTTTTGTATATTTTGCATACTAGTCCTTTATTACATGTGTGTTTTGCAAGAATTTTCTCCCTGTCTGGTTTGTCTTATTTTTTTAACAGTGTCTTTCGTTGAGCAGTAGTTTTTAATTTTAATGAAATCTAACTTCAATTATTTTTGTCATGGATTGAACTTTTGATGTTGTATCTAGAAAGTCTTCACCAAAACTAAGGTCCCCTAGATGGTCTTCTATGTTATCTTCTAGGATTTTTATAATTTTACATTTTACATTTAGGTCTATGATCCATTTTGAGTTAATTTTTGTGAAGGGCAAAAGATCTGTGTCTAGTTTCATTTTTTTTTTTTTTTTGCATATGGATGTCAAATTGTTCCAGGAATATTTGATGAAAAAACTGGCCTTTCTCCATTGTGTTGCCTTTGCTTATTTGTCAAAAATCAGTTGACTAGATTGGTGTGAGTTTAGTTTTGGCATCTGTATTCTATCCCACTGATGTTTTTTGGGTCAATTCTTTTGCCAATAACACACTGTCTTGATTATAGTAGAATTAGAATTAGTAGAAGTAGCAGTAGTAATAAAAGTCAGGCTGTGTCAGTTTTCTGATTTTATTCTTCTCCTTCAATATTGTGTTGGCTTTTCCTGGTCTTTTGCCTCTCCATATAAACTTTAGAATCAGTTTGTTCATACTCACAAAGCAATTTCCTTAGATTTTTGACTAGGATTGCATTGAATCTATAGATCAAATTGAGAAGAACTGATATCTTGATAATATTGAGTCTTCTTATCCACACACATAGAATATCTCTCCATTTAGTTACATCTTCTTGGGTTTCTTTCATTGGTGTTTTATACTTTTCCTCATATAGATCTTGTAATATTTTGTTACATTTATACCTATTTCATTTTTTATGCTAATGTAAATGGCATTGTGCTTTTAATTTCAAATTCTAATTGTTCATCGCTGGTACATAAGAAAGCAATAGACTTTTGTATATTAATCTTGTGTCTGGAACATTGTTATAACTACTTACTAGTTTCAGGAGGTTTTCTTGTTGGTTCTTTGGGATTTTCTACATAGACAATTATGTTATTTATAAACATAAGTAATTTTCTTTTTTCACAACCAGTATACATTTTATTTTCTTGTTTTATTGCATTAGCTAAGACTTCCAGTATATTGTTGAATAGGAGTGGGAAGAGTGAATGAACATTCTTGCCTAGTTCCTAATGTTAGTGGGAGAGCATTTAGTTTCCCACCATTAAGTATGATGTCAGCTATGGATTTTTTGTAAATATTATTTATCAAGTTGAGGAAGTTTCCTCTTTAATCTTAGTTTGCTGAGACGTTTTTGGTTTTTTTAAAAATCATGAATAGGTGTTGGATTTTGTCAAATGCTTTTTCTGCAACTATTGATGTGATCATATGATTTTTTTCTTTGGCTTGTTGTTATATGAATTATACTGCATTGAATAGATTATATTGATTTTCAAATGTTTAACCAGGCCTGGAATAAATCCCATTTGGTTGTGGTGTATAATTCTTTTCATGTATTGTTGCATTTGATTTGCTAATTTTTTTTGAAGACTTTTGCATCTATTTTCATGAGAGATATTGCTTTGCAGTTTTCCATTGTTATAATGTCTTTGTCTGGTTTGGTATTTGAGTAAAGCTGGTACCAGCATGACAAGATGCTCAACATTGTTAGTCATTAAGGAAATGCAAATTAAAACTCATTGAGATACCACCACACAGCTTTTAGAATGGTTAACACAACCAACAACAAGACAATATTAAGTGTTGGAGAGGATTTGGAGCAACTGGAACTCCCATTCACTGCTGGTGGGAGTGGATAATGATACAGCCACTTTGGAAAAGTTTTTGGCAGTTTCTTTTAAAATTAAACCTACATTTACCAAATGTAAAAACCTACACTAAATGTTTATTGTTTATTCATTTTCAAAACTAGAAACAACAGAAATGTTCCTCAATGGATGAACAAACTGCAGTCCATTTATACAATGGAATACCACACAGCAATAAAAAGAACAAACTATTGATACATTGGAGAATGTGGGTGAATCTCAACACATTATGCTAAATGAGGAAAGCCAGACTCAAAAGACTATATACTGTGTGATTCCATTTACAGGATGTTCTGATGTTCTGGAAAAAGAAAAACTACAGGGGAAGAAACAGATCATTGGTTGCCTGGGGTTGGGATGGGGCAGAGAACTGATCACAGTGGGATATGACGGTATCTTATGGGGTGAGGGAACAATGCTATGTCTTGATTATACATGTAATGGTTACATGACTACAGGCATTTGTCACAAAACCTACAGAACTGTACTCTAAAACAAGCAAATTTCTCCTCACATAAATTATAGCTTAATAAAAACATAGTAAAAGTCTCAAAAGTTAAAAAATCACATCTTTGCAGAGCTATAATCAGAATGAATACTATATACATTGGCCTGCTTTTTTTGTTTACAGTATTACACCAAAGAGTTCTTACTAGCGTTTGCTGTAGCATTTAAAAGCACCTTATATTCCAGGAAAGATAGTCATTCTCTGGCATCTATATGTATCTATATATACTGCATCTATATCAATCACACACTTGAAACCAAAATTAGAATGGATCATCCGCTTCCCCCTAAAAGATCAGCAGGACTAATTTCAGTGTTTATTGCATGCTATTTTCCTACTTCCCTCTGTCACCACCAGAAGTAACCTGACTTCCAGGTCAGCCCCAATCAATCAGACTCTCCCCTGCTTGGTATCAGTTAGGAATTGTGTCCAGACACTAGTAATAGAGACCAGACTACAGTAGTTAAACAACTAATGCTTTATTCTCCCATATAAAACAGTTCAGAGACCACAATGTCATCAGGGACTCAGGCTATTTTAATATTTGTACAAGTGTTTTTTTTTTTAATATATGGGAATTATTTTGTAGAACAGAAACTCAGAACTCAGTCAAAAGTGTGCATATTTTTGTATACTCTTGATTTGTACTGATAAATTGCTTTTCCAGTGAGATGTACCAATTCACAATACTGCTAACCATATGTCAGAGCACCCAGTTTATTACCAAATCTGTGTTGGAAATATTCTGCCTTTGGATTCGTAAAAAGAGGCTCAGGTGGATTAAGTGGGCAACCTACGTGTGGTAGGTGAACGATAATCTCCAGACTCCAAACTCCAGGTGCTCTTTTGCTGATAAATTTGGGAAAATTATATTGTTGCTGAGTTCCTCTTTCCCTGTGTCCCTATCTCTTGTCTGTTCCCCTTTCTTTCTTCTTTCCTTCCTTCTTCAGCTCTTTGTTGATATCCCACAATGAGCCAGGCACTGAATCTATTCCATCATAACCCCTCGTTTTCAGGGCAGAGCATTTTGAGAGTCTTCTGAAACACTTTCTTTTCTTGCCCTCTGGGTCATCAATCTCTCCTCCTACAGTGTGGAATCCCTGCTTGGGGCTGGAGAATGGGTCTGAACAGGGGGTGGGCAGAGTCCTGTTGGTGAAGGGGAGACAATGTTAGGTACCTGCACAATATCTAGCCTCCTTCTTTCTTGATTTTATCAGGTACAAGACTTCATTGCCCAGCCTCCCTTGCAGCTAAGTGTGGCCCCATATGAGCTGAAAGTGGAACTTACTGAGTTGTTGGATGATACTTTTAGGAAATCTCGAAAGAGGACAGACAACTGGTGGAATATTCCTGTTCTTTGTTTCCTGCACATATGGGACGTGTCCAAATCTCAGTTCTCAAATACTTTCAGTTCCTAGGTCATCTCAATTATTCACAGGGCTTTAAATACCATCTATAAATTGGCCACTTAGAAATTTCTATCTCCAGCCCTGACTTCTCTCCAGACGCTCTGATTCCTATACACAAAGGCCACCTCAACATCTCCACGTGGATGACTAATAAATGGCTCAAACTTAACACATTTAAAACAAAGTTCTTAATTTCATGCCAGAATCGGATCTGCCCCCGTTGTTTCCTTTTTAGTAAATGGCACCATCGTTCACCCAAATGTTCAGGCCCAGATCCCGTGAGTCACTTTGACCCCTCTCTTTCCCTCACACCCCACATTCACACCAGCAGCAAAAATTACAGCTGTACCTTTAAATTACATATTGAATCTGATCATGTCTTACCACCTTCACATCTCCTTCCTGGTCCAGTCACCATTAGCTCTCATCTAGACCACAGAGTCAGCCTCTTCACTAGTCCCCTGTTTTCTACGCTTGTCCCCTACAGTAAAGTCTCCTCATGGTATCTAGAATGATCTTTTAAAAACCTAAGAGAATGTCATATTCTTGAGTTTCTTTAAACTCAAGTTTCTTTTGGCACTCAGAATGAATCAAATTCCTTTCAAGGTCCTCCGGTCCCTGCCTATCAGCCTGAACTTTCTTCTTCCCAGCCCCCCTTGCTTTGCTATGGTCCTTTTAGGCACATTCCAGCCACAGGGCCTTTGCACCTACTGTGCTGTCTGCACTGAATATGCTGTGTTCGGGTCTATGCGGAAATGTTGCCTCTCCAAAGACTTCCCTGACCACCATATCTGTCCATCACTGTCTGATAATGTATAGTGTACTTAGTGGTTTATTGGCTTTCTATTTTGGTAGAGTACAAGCTCCCGACTGTGCTGGTTTGCTCAATGCTGTGCTCCTTGGGCTCAACAAAGATTTGCTGAATGAATGAAATGAATAATTTAGATGCTGTTAGTTTTGATGCTATTTTATTTTCCACTAAATGCATGGATTGCTTCACTAATTTCTTCCCTGTTGTTTAACATTAAGTTGCCTCTATATTTTTAATATAAAAACACTTTAATGAACACAGCCAATACTCAAGTAGTTCAGTCTGGTTCTTAGGCTATAACAGCTTGGCAAAAGAAATTAGTTCAATTCAAGTACATGGATTATGTAATCTAAAGTGGAAACCAACAGAAATTCTGTATTTCTTTGCCCTGGGTTTCTGTTAGGTTATCCTTCTCCCTTACCCAATGATCCATCCTGACTTTATCCAACCAAAAACTCTCACCTTCAAGCCTTGATGAAAAGTTCTCTCTCTGTGTGTGAAGCTGTCTGACACCCTCCTGCTGGCAGGACCAATGGATCCCTCATCTTGAGTTCAGGTCACTCTCTTCTAGCATTTACCAGACTCCTGTGGGTGGAACTTCTTTCCTTTCTGCCTTCCCGGTGAGAATGAAGGTTCTTCAAGGTCAAAAGCTGTGTCTTATTCACCTTTTGTGTGTGTGTGTGTGCCAAGCACAGTGCCTAGCACATCATAGATGATTAATAGATATTTGTAGAGTCTGGGTGTGGTGACTCACACCTGTAATCCCAGCTCTTTGGGAGGCCAAAAGGTAGGAGAATCGCTTGAGGCCAGGAGTTCAAGACCAGCATGGGCAAAGTAGCAAGACCCCCACTCTAAAACAAACAAACAAACAAACAAACAAATATATGTTTGTAGAAATGTGGACTGAATTCTCTTCCCCCAAAATGGTTGGAAGAAACATTGGTGATATCTGTGCTAGGAATAAAAAATGGTGTATGACCACCACTACTCCTCTCCCGATAAAGAGAATATGGCAACAAACACCAGTGTTGTCAGGTCTTGAAGAAAAGTCTTCTGTGAAATTCCTTCCAATCACGCCTGCATTTCCCGCAGCCCTTCCCCACCCCATCCTGATACCTTCCTTGCAACACTTGGTTTATTTTTTCATCTTCTGCATTTTTTGAGATTTCTTTTGAATTTGTTTGCTTCTTTGGGGACACACTGTTGCAGGATATGAATAATTGAACACAACAAATTTGGATGATAAATTATGGATTACAGATGCTGAGTTATTTTGGAACTGTTGCTCTGTGTGTTGTAGCAAGGCACTGGAATATTAAAAATGTGTGTTTTAAATGATCTTGATGTTGCTTGTTGAAAAGACAAGCAAGAAAAACTATGAAAGCCTACAGCATCGGGAAAGATTGCTGTGCTTGGAGCTGGTGACTTTCCTGAGTCAGGTTCTGCAGCCCCTGGGAGATTGGTAGCGTGCTGGGCACTAGTAGCGTTCAGCCTGGGGAGTTCTGGAATAGCCAGCGCCAGCTAGGTCCTGATTGGGCACACATTCTTGTGCCCTTGGTTGGGAATTAGGGAGACAGAGATAAGACGTGAGGAGGAATTTGTGACTGTGCAGCCTTCCTGGGGTCTCCGGAAGGCAAAACTCAGTAAACACAGAGGCTTCCAAGCACCCATGTCCTCCTGCAGCGTGGAGTGAGGGAGCACTGAGGAGGTGGCCAGCCAATCCCTATGCAGTGGGATGGCGATTTCTTCCTTAGTGTGAACTGCCAGGAAGGAGTTGGTGCCTACTAGGAATGTGACAAACACACAGCTTAAGAGGTGTGGGGACTGCATGAGCACAGGAGAGGAAGACTACAGGCCCAGGGCACCCCGGCAAGGCTTGAAGTCTCAGAGGGGCCCTGCGGGCAGTTTGGGGAGTTTGTAGCATTGTCACCTGGAGGATTTGTGGGGCCAGGACAGCTGCCCCCTGCTGGAAGTGGGGGCTGAGAGCCTTTCCCAGGAGACCGCAGCAGCAGCAGCACCCTCTGGAAGCTCCTAGTCCTTGATGCTGGCCCTGGAGCAGGAGGACTGGGCAATTTCAGGGCTTGCCATCCTAGCCCCCTCTGCAATTCCAAAGTTAATCAATTTTGATTGCTCGGAGGAAGGTTGAGTTTGTTATTTATTCATTGGGACAGAAAAACAATTTCCTGTCTGAGGACACAGTAGGTTGCAGGCCCTGGCCTTTGGGTAGGGAACAGACTTCCTTCAAGGAGCTTTGCATGATCATTCAGGCCTCAAATTCTGAGTGGAGGATGTGGCCTGGAAAAGGCAGCGCTGTCTCAGCAATGGCTTCTGAGGCTGTGTGATAAGGGCCCGTGCTGGGTGCTGGCTGTAAGTTGTGTCACGCCCCTACCAAATAGGTGCTGCGGTAATAAAAATGTTTCATGTTCTTTCTCCTGTGGAGACTGGTGTGTTTTTGAAATACAAGCTAGTTGTTAGGCCTGAGCCCTCATGCTAGGAAGTCTCAAAGGGACTGATAGAAGGGGAGAGAAGTCTGACGTACAAGTGCTTGTCAGCCTTTCCAGGCTGTGGCAAGTTCTGGAACTAGCAGGCAGGTGATGAAGTGAGAGGAGGGTGTGTGTGTGAGTGTGTGTGTTTAGCATGCTGTGTGCATGTATGCATGCATGCACGGTATGTGTGTGCTCACATGTGTGGTATATGTGTATGGGTGTGGGTTGTATGCATTATGTATGTGTATGTGGTATGTATGTATATATGTGTGTGAATTGTGTATGTATGGGTGTGTAGGTGTGTGTAGATGTGTGCGGTGTGTGCATGCACGCACACAGGTAGTATGTGGGGTGCATGCACAGGGTACATATATATAATGTGTGCATAGAGTGTGTGCATGTATGTGTGTGTATGAGGTGTGTATGTATGTGGGTGGGGTGTATGTATATGCAGGTATGTGGGTTGTGCATATGTGTGGGGCATGTGTATGCATGTATATATGTAGTGTGGGGGGGTCCATGCATGTGTGTGTATATGCATGAGGTACATGTCTGTACTCATGGGGAGTATATGTATGTATGTGTATGAGGTGCCTGTGTGTATGTGGGTGGAGTGTATGTACATGTGAGTGGGATGTATGTATGTGGA